>NC_000006.12:22181212-22484242 GCF_000001405.40 Homo sapiens | reverse complement strand
TATTTTATTAATATCAGAAGTTTTGGGGAATCGTTTTTGTTTTTTTTAATCAATTATTTTTGTTTTTCTCATCAATTCTTTTTGGTTTTCCACATAGATGATCATGTCATTTGTGAACAAAGAGACGTTTATTCTTCCTTCTTAATCAGTATACATTTATTCCTTTTCTCATCCTATTGCATTAGCAAGGAATTTTAGTACAACATTGAAAAGGAGTGCTGAGAGGGGGCATGATTGTTTCTTCCTGTTCTTAACAGGAAAGTTTCTAGTTTCTCACCATTAAGAAAAATTTTGGCTACGGGGTTTTTGTAGATTCTTTTTATCAAGTTGAGAAAGCTCCCCTCTCTTTCTAGTTTACTGAAAGTTTTTTCATTATAAATGGCTGTTGGAATATGTCAGATGTTTGTCCTGAATCTATTGATATAATGTAATTTTCCTTCAACCTGTTCACATGATGGATTACATCAGTCAATTTTCAAATGTTAAACTAGCCTTAAATACTTGGGATAAATTCCACTTGGTAGTGGTGTTTAATTCTTTTTATACTTTGTTGGATTTGACTTTCTAATATTTTATTGAGGATTTTTTCATCTATGTGCATGAGAAATATTGGTCTCTAGTTTTCTCGTAATGTCTTTATCTGATTTTGTTATTAGGGTAATGCTGGCCTCACAGAACAAAGTAGAAAACATTTTATCTGCTTCTATCTTCTGAAAGAGATTGTAGATAATTGGTATAATTTATTTCTTAAATATTGGTAAAATACACTAGTGAACCCATCTGGGACTGGTGATTTCTGTTTTGAAATTGTTTTAATTATTGATTCAATTTATTTAATAGATATAGGTCTACTTGATTGTCTATCTTGTGTAAGTTTTGGTAGATTTTGTCTTTTAAGGTATTGGTCCATTTCATCTAGGTTATCAAATTTGCAGGCATAGATTTGTTCATAACATAATAATACAATAAATACTATATATAATGAATGTATAAGTAGAATTATATATGTATATAAGTAAATAAATATAATAAAATTTCTTGCTTATCCCTTAATATCAATGGGATCTGTAGTGATGTTCCCTTTTTATTTATAATATTTCTCTCTCTCTCGGTCTTTTAGTTAGGTTTACAAGAGACTCACTGATTTTATTTATTTTTTCAAAGAATCAGCTTTTGGCGTTGTTGAATTTCTCTACTGATTTCCTATTTTCAATTTCATTGATTTCTGCTCTAATTCTTATTAGTTCTTTTCTTTGCTTACTTTGGATTCAATTTGCCCGTCTTTATCTAATATCCTAAGGTGGGAATTTAGATGATTTATCTTAGATTATTCTTCTTTTCTAATAAACCTATTCAATACTATAGAATGTCCCTCTAAGCACTGCTTTCATTGCATTCTGCACATTTTAATGAGTTGTGTTTTCATTTTCATTTAATTAAAATATTTTTAAATTTCTCTTAAGGGTTCTTCTTAGCAATATTTAGATTCTTGTTTAATCATCAAGTATTTTGTTATTTTCTAGGTTAATTTCATTATGCTGTGAGAGCAGACATTGCATAATTTCTATTTTTTAAATTTGTTAAGGTATGTTTTATGGTCCAGGATGTGGTCCATCTTGGTGAATGTTCCATGTGAGTTTGAGAAAAATATGTATTTTGCTTTGGTTGGATGAAATAATCTATAAATGTTAATTATATGCAATTGATAGATGGTGTTGTTGAGTTCAACTATGCCCTTTACTGATTTTCTGCCTGTTGGATCTGTCCATTTCTGATAGAATGGGTATTGAAGTTTTCAACTAAAAAGTAATGGGTTTGTCCATTTTTCCTTACAGTTCTATCAGTTTTTGTCTCAGATAGTTTGATCTTCTATTGTTAGGTTCAGGCACCTTAAATACTATTATATCTTCTTGGAGAATTACCCATTTATCATTAGGTAACACTACTTTTTATCCCTGATAATTCCCAGGCTCTGAAGTTTGCTCAATCTCAAATTAACATAGTGACTCCCACTTTATTTTAATTGTTGTTGGTATAGTATATCTTTCTCAATCCATTTACTTTTAATCTATGCTTCTCTTTATATTCAAAGTGAGTTTCTTATATAGAATACATATTTGAGTCTTGTTTTTTGGTCCATTTTGCCAATCTCTGATTTGAAATTGGTGCACCTAGATCATTTATGTTTAAAATGATTATTGCTATAATTAGGTTAATATCTACTGTATTTGTTACTATTTTATATTTGCTGCCTGTGTTCTTTATTTTCTGATTTTATCTTCCACTCTGTTATGCCTTTTGTGGCTTCAATTAAGCATTTTATATTATTCCATTTTCTCTCCTTTCTTAGGATATCAGTGAAACTTCTTTTTTTAGTGGTTTGCCCCAGAGTTTGCAATATACATTTACAAACAATCCAAGTCCATTTTTAAATAACACTATACCACTTCACAGGTTGTGTGGTTGTATGAATACCTTATAATAACAAAATAATCCCAATTCCTTTCTCCTTCTGTCTCTTGTTTTATTGTTGGCTTCTATTTCACTTATAGATAAGCATACACAAGTATGTGCTATATATATATATATATATATATATATATATACACACATATATACACACATATTTATATATACATATATTCATACATAATAAAATACATTACCACTATTAATTATTTTTAACAAATTGTTTTATGTTAGATCAATTAAGAGTAGTTGATTTAACAGATAACAAGAGTAAAAGAAAATTTCTATTTACATTTATTCTTTATTTCATGCTATTCCTTTCTTTATATAAATCTAATCTTTAAACCTCTATCATTTTCCTTCTCCCTAAACAATTTCTTTTAACATTTCTTTCAAGGCAAGTCTATAGGCAAAAAATTCCTTCCCTTTCTGTTTGTCTGAGAAACTCCTGTTTCTTCTGCACTTTTGAAGGACGGTTTCACAGGGCACAAAATTCTAGGTTGGTGGGTTTTGTTCTCTCTCTTACTTTAAATATTTCACTTCACTCTTTTCTTGCTTGCATGGTTTCTGAGTAAAACTTGGATAAAATTCTTACTTTTGTTTTTCTATAAGTATATATATCTTTCAGGATTTTTAAAAAATATTTGATTTTCTGTAGTTTTAATAATACGCTTAGGTGTATTTTTTGGCACTTGTTCTGCTTGAGCTTCCTAAACCTGTAGTTTCTTGCTTGACATTAATTTAGGAGAAATTCTCAGTCATTATTGTTTCTAATATTTCTTTTGCTCCTTTCTTTCTTTCTTATTCTTCTGGCATTTCTATTCCATGTATGTTACAACTTTGGTAGTTGTCTCACAGTTCTTGGATATTCTGATTCTTTCAGTCTTCTCTCTTCACTTTTTAAATTTAGAGTTTTCTATTAAGAAACCCCCTCACTCTGAGAAATTCTTGCCTAGGCCATGTCCAGTCTACTAATAAACTTATCAAAGTTGTTCTTAATTTCTGTTATAGTGTTTTTGATCTCTAACATTTTATATTGGTTCTTAGAATTTCCCACCTGCATACATTACCCATTTGTTTTTGCATGCTGTTCCCACTTTATCCATTAGATCTCTTAGCATGTTTATCATAGTTGTTTTAAATTCACCATCTGATAATTCCAACATCCTGCCATATACGCGTGTAGTTCTGATGGTTGCTTTTGTCACTTCATACTGTGGGGTTTTTTGCCCTCTGGTATGCCTTGTGATTTTTCTTCGTAGCTGCACATGATGTGCTGGGTAAAAGAAACTTCTGTAAGTAGGACTTTAGTCATATGATAGATAGTAAGGTGCGGAGAGGGATGGGGATAAGTGTGCTAGAGTTCTATGATTAGGTCTCAGTCTTTCAGTGAGCCTGTGGCTCTGGACTGTGAACTTCATAACTGCTTCTCAGTCTTCACTTCCATAGGTGGGACAGAATGGCTAAAGTGGGCTAGTGTTAGGTATTTCCTTTCTATGTGGGCAGCTAGAGGTGGCTGGTGTTGGTGATTTTCCTTCATCCAGGTCAGCTTAGGCTCTGATAAAACCCCAGCAAATTAGGCTCTAGTTAACTAGCTTCTACTGAGGGCAGACCTCGTTAAGAAGAATGGAGTGCCTTCAGAATGGCTCCCTTTCCCCTCCCTCTGCTAGAAGCACTAGAAGCACTAGCTAATTCTTCTCGGATATTCACTGGGAGACCCAGGTCATGCACCTAAAAGTAAAACTCACCAAAGTGCAGGGGCCCATCTGTGACAGAGTCTCCCTGGAGTTTTTGACTTTCAGAGTTGTCCACACTGAGCCTCAAGCAATTCATCAATTACAGTTAAGATTTTTCTACCACAGCAGTGGTGGTGACCATGGAAGTATCTGCTTGTGATTCTACTCAGGTAAATTATGATTCTCTGGGTCTGCCCTTCTGTCTCCCCAATTTTGGGGTCAGCAGGTTGCCCTATGACTTCCCTTCTCCTACAGATCTAAGAATCATTAAATTTTCAGTTTTTTCAACTTTTTATTTGGTTTAGGACGGTTGGGTGGCTTGCAAGCTTCTTTTCCTAGGATTTTTCAATCCAGAGTGTAATATACTCTGCTTATTTCTCCTGTGAGATACATTAATTTAATCCAGTCATCTGAGATCTAAGAAAAACCTGATATAAGGCTGCAAATCTCTTCCATAATACATATGCCTTTATTTTTTCTAAGTATAACACATTTTTGACTGTCTAAGGCAACAAATTATTTTCCTTTAGTTATATCAAACACTTCCACTTATTCAGACATATGAAATGGACATCAAGTGAGCTTTCTTTTGTGTTATTACATTTGTTTTAAATGAAGAGAAATTCCACTGTTACAGTAGGGACCTATAATTGGAAATGTCACCATATGTTAGCACCCAAACTACTTATGAACCTATCTGTTCAGTTAAATGTCAGTTGTTGATTGGCTATGAACATGCCATGCAAAGAATCACATCCATGTCTATGTTTCTGATTCTCATGCATATGGGAGGAATAAAACTTTTCAAGTAAATCCATTGTTCTGTGTTACACAGTTAATCTGCCAGTGATGAGACTAAAACAAATTATCAAGTTACTGATATGTAATATTTGGAAACTCTACAGGATCTAGATTCTCTTAATAGTTCTTCTCAAAATAATATGTGTCTTATTTCCTTGAAAGAGTTTCTGACACTATATTTTAATTTCTATATGACCTCTGATGATGCTAAGATACTTAAACCAGGTGAGATTTAGCAGTCTGTTATGTCAGAAAGCCCCTGACCTCAACTCAAAACCATTGGTTAGCCTTAAAGAGTCAGCCATAAGCTATTGGCAAAAATAAATACATAAAAACCTTCATAAATAATTAAACAACTTCTTCATTCAAAAATCCACTGGACATAGAATATATAGAGTCTCAGTGGTCTTTTTTTAATCCTGGTGGTGCTTGATTAGCTGAGGTCCACTAAAACATGGTTACTCAAACCATAAAATTTGGTAGTTGTTCTGGATTTGAAAATAGAAGTGTATGATCCTGTTGCACTCCTCAAGGGTAGAAATTACAAGTCTGCTCTAATTAGTTGTAATCCAATAAAAATACATGATGGTAGTGTTGTGTCCAATACAGAAGCCATGAGTAAGTGCCTCTCCTGTGATAAAAATCAGCCAAGAGAAGAAGGCAGAGTGCTGCTGATGCCAGCACAAACTGCTCATCTTCTCTGAAAGCACATGAAAGTAAAAATGTTAAAATATATTAACTATTGACAAATCAGGCTGGGCATGGTGGCACATGCCTGTAATTCTAGCACTTTGGGAGGCCAAGGCAGGCCGACCACTTGAGGCCAGGAGTTCGAGACCAGCCTGGCCAATATGGCAAAACCCCATCTCTACTAAAAATAAAAAAATTATCCAGGCGTGGTGGTGCACACCTGTAATCCCAGCTACTCACAAGGCTGAGGTGGGAGAACCGCTTCAACCCAGGAGATGGAGGTTACGGTGAGCCAAGATCATGCCACTGCACTCCAGCCTGGGTGAGTAAGAGTGAGACTCCATCTCAAGAAAAAAAAAAAAAATTTGTTGACAAATATTCATAGGCTATTTGGAATGACTATTATACACTTATTATTATTTTCATTATTGTGTTCAAGTAAATCTTAGTTAAGTGTTTTTTCTTCTTTTACTTATGTGTAAAATATTTGTGCATAATAAACACATTTATTACATAGCAATATTTCAGATAATTATAATTCAGAAGGCATATTAATATTAAATTAAATTCTAATTCTATAATTTTCAGTGAGTAATCTTCATGGGCCAGGTATTTCAGAAAAAAATAAGTGTTATAAGATGATCCTTACGCTTGAAGACCTGGGGATGTCTTCAGAGTAAACTATGAGACTCTGAATGTCTTGGCCCTCTTACTTTAGCAAAGGCTAGAGTAAATTAAACAGTTAGATGTTCTGTTAGACAAGTGCAGATAAGAAGAAAAACAGGTTTGCTTCTACCCTCTAATATCATTAATGATATCCTGCATTTTGCAGACAAAATCAGAGGTAAACTTAAGTTAGCCACATATATTTTATCTATACCTGTTCTAAGAATATATCCACAGTGATTGTAGTATCTACATCAAGGGTATTTGAGAGGATTACGTGACTCAGGATATGTAAAGAACTTAGGACAAAGTTTGGCCTGGCACATGGTGAGATCTCAATAACTCTTAATTATTTTTATTATAAGAAGACCGAGACTACAAAATAATTATAGTTAAAGCAATTCAGACTTCAGATAAAGGCCAGAATGGCACCATGGAACTAAGACCTTAGAGAAATATCCATGAGTATTGTTGGAACACTTGTAATACACATCTCTCCCTCAGGAGCTTAACTTAATAAATAAGAGGACAAAAGTCTGGCTCTTAATTCTGTCAAAGTCTATCATAAGACATTACTTTCATATCACACATGACAGTTCACCTGTATATAAGGACTCTTGTCCCCAGAGGACAACAGTCTGATACTGTAGTGAGAAAGAACACATACCCTGTTTGACCTTCTGCTATAAAACAATTCAGCGTGGGTCAGGAAGAAGGAATGAGAATATTCATGCAGACTTGATAAAGTGAACTTACATTGAACCCATGGAAATTTCTGAATTTCATTTCAGGAATCACAGCCTAACAGCAGCACTTTAAGAATTTTCATTAACCATCGAGCCTACAGCCTCCCTTTAAAGCATTTATTGGTGTACTATTTATAACAGTCAACTTGCATGAAAAAATGCTCTCCAGTGGAAGTGGTTGACCTTAATTTTAAACAGAAAAATACTAAAGAGCTCGGTTCTGCAATACAATTTCTGTGACTTTGAGTTCACAGATTGTGGCCAAAGCAGACACGATTAGGTTAGCACCTCTTAAATCAGGGATCCCTGTTTAACTTTGGATCTAGATTTCTACCCCTGAGAGGGTTTGAAAAACCTTTGCTTACCATTATTTTCAACCTAACAGATTACTTCTAAACTTTAAAAGTAAATCACAGTAAACTAAACACTCTAGTCCTCCCCACTAAAGAAATAAATGAGACTACATGATAAAACAGAAGGGAGCATATAGAAACTAATATTTTTTAACATCTAATATCTGCAGAAACCAAGATAGGCACTTACAAGTGCTACCGTATGAAACACTCCAAACAATTTCTTAAAGAGGGATCTCATTAGCCTTGTCTTAGAAATCAGAAAACAGAAGCTCAGAGAGGTTAAGTCACATGGATCACTTCACAGAGCTACTTAATGGAGTATGTCCTGGGTTGAAATAAAAATGTGGAGAGTCTCCTCCTAGTTTTTCTACCATGCAGCTATATCTTTGGAAAGCAAACCACTCCCCTAGGCCAATTTCTTCACCTTTAAAATAATGACGTTGTGGCGAATGGACTCTAGGGTGGTCCTCATGTTCATGCCCTTGTGTGACCCTCTGCTCTGGAGCATGGGCAAGATCTAAGACTTACTTCTAAGAGAATACAGCAAACACGGTAAGATGTACATCATTACATTGCATAAGACTGTAACACCCATCATGTGATGAGATCCTCTGTTGATGGTTTTGAAGAAGCGAGCTGAAATGTGAGCTTCATCATAGGGAAGGTTATACAGAAAGGAGGTGACAGTAGCTTCTGGCCAAAAACTAGCAAAAAAGTAAAGACCTCTGATAGGTTGTAAAGAACTGAATGCTGACAACAACCAGCTGAGCTTGGAATTAAATTCTTCTCCAGTCAGGCTTCAGATGAGAACGCAGTCTTTGCTAACTCATTGATTATAGCTTTGCAGAGGACTCGGCTAAACCTTGCCCAGATGTCAGTCTGTGAAAATCTTTATCCTATGGGCTTTAAAAATAAAGAAATGTATTATCCCCCATAACAAAATGTCCAGATATTGGGCAGATTTCAGGGTTAGTTGATTAAGCCATTAAGCATCAACGATTCTATATCCTTCACAACTCCCTCTTCTCAGCTCAATTCCCCCAGTGTTCACAAAATGGCTGCAGCGGTTCCAGACTTCACATCCAGACCCAAGAATACCTAGAAGCAAAAAAAAAAAAAAAAAAAAAAACAAACAAAAAAAAGGGCTGCCTCTTCTTTATGTCCCTTTTATGAGTAAATCTTTCCCAACATCACTCCCAGAAGAAATCCCTCATGTCTTACTGATTGGAACTAGGGTATATGCCTACCTTTAAATCCTTTATTGTCCAAGGAATAAGGCCTAACAGCCATGATTTGTTTTTTACCAATCAGGACTTACCCCTACATTTGAAGAGAGAGGGCCACATTTCACTGAGTCATAGTGGAGAGTCATGGACATGCCAATAGCATTGAGTTTGGCCAGAAGGAAGAAATAAAGTGATTGAGGGTAGATCCACTGCAATCACAAAAGTCCCTTTGGCTTTGACACTTTATGATCCTATGACTAATCCATGTGGAAAATGGTTCAACTAGTAGTTTTTGAAACCTCTCTGGTAGGCACAATAGTTTACACTCAATGTACAGCAGTGAATGAGATAAAAATAGTTCCTTTCTTTTTTTTTTTTGTATTTTACTTTAAGTTCTGGGATACATGTGCAGAACCTGCAGGTTTGTTCCATAGGTATACATGTCCCATGGTGGTTTGCTGCACCTATCAACCTGTCATCTAGGTTTTAAGCCCCACACATATTAGGTATTTGTCCTAATGCTCTCCCTCCTTTTGCCCCCCACCCCCCGACAGGTCCCGGTGTGTGATGTTCCCCTCTCTGTGTCCATGTGTTCTCATTGTTCAACTCCCACTTATGAGTGAGAACATGCGGTGTTTGGTTTTTTGTTCCTGTGTTAGTTTGCTGAAAAGTCCCTTTCTTTAGAGTATACAGTCTAGTGGGAACATATAGGTACACATCTAGAGGCTTCTTAATGATGACTTTGCTGATGCTGGAGAGAGGAGTGTGTCATGCATGCTCGTGGCCTTCCTTTCTTCCAGAAAACTAGAAGTAAAGATGGGCTACCAAGGTGTGCACACGCCAGATACCTAGAATTGCACTGTCCCCTACACAGCCCAATAGTCTATGTGGCTATTTCAATTTAAGTATAACTTCAATAACATTAAATAGAAACAAAATTCCGTTCCTCAGTTGCACTCTCATATTTCAAGTGCTCCGTAGGCATATGTGGCTAGTGGCTACCATATGGCAGTGCAGATACAGAGCGTTTTCATCACCACAGGAAGTTCTGTGAGATAGCATTGCCCTAAGAGCTTCAAGAAGGTTCAAAAACACTTCAACAAAATGTTGAGTACAACATCTCCCAGGCTCGCCCATACTCCAGCAGGTATTACAACTGCACTATAATTACCAATACCTTTCAGTCTCCCCCATACTCCAGCAGGTATTACAACTGCACTATAATTACCAATACCTTTCAGTCTCCCCCAAAGAACTCTCAAACTCAATTACTGTTTCCATTACTGATTTTTGCCCTCCTTATGTCTGAGGCTCTTAGTCACCATGGAGACTAGTTTTCTGCCAGATAAGAAAACTGACAAAGTAAACTAAGTTTCCATGGGCACCCAAAGAACAAGTGGGAAGAACTGTCATGACAATGTGACCGAACAACCCAGAGCACAGCAGGGAAGAGACGATCCTGAGTTCTTTGGCCAATTTCTCTTGGCAACTATACAAGTTAGTCCTGTGTGGCAAGCGGCTGAGCACTGTGATGGTTAATGGGTGTCACCCTCTACCTGAGAGTCCTGATGGGTGAAGAAAGGTTATCTATGGGGTGCTCTGCTCCTCACTCCCGTTTTTGGAGGTACTAAACCAAGTTACGTGAGGTCAGTATTGGGACTGTGCTCCTACACTGGGCCCCAGCCAACCAAACTAAACCAGAATGAAGTCACTCACGCTAAATACCACATAATTAAACTAAACTCTGAAACAGGCCAGTTTTCAAAAATTTTAAAAAATAAATAAAAATAAGCAAACAAACACAAAACCAGGAGATTGACAGCAATCAACCAGAAGAAACCTAGTTTACCTGAGCTGGCATATTAAGGAATTTCCCACTGCTGAAACCTATAAAGAAAGTCATTCTGGAATGATCAATCCACTTTTCATTCTTTGTCTCTGCCTTCTTCAACCTTTTTCTAACTGAAAGCCACTCTCCTCTGCTCAGCTCATTGCAACACACTCTCTATTGTATAGAATTCTGTTTTGTAGAATGAGGTGTTGCCCAATTTTTTTTTTTTTTTAATTTGAGACGGAGTCTCGCTCTGTCGCCCAGGCTGGAGTGCAGTGGCGCAATCTCGGCTCACTGCAAGCTCCGCCTCTGGGCTTCATGCCATTCTCCTGCCTCAGCCTCCCGAGTAGCTGGGACTACAGGCGCCCGCCACCACGCCTGGCTAATTTTTTGTATTTTTAGTAGAGACGGGGTTTCACCGTGTTAGCCAGGATTGTCTGGATCTCCTGACCTCATGATGCGCCCGCCTCAGCCTCCCAAAGTGCTGGGATTACAGGCGTGAGCCACCGCGCCTGGCCAATGTTGCCCAATCTTAGAATCACAACTACAAGCCAAATAGATTGTTCACCAATGAGAACACATGGACACAGGGAGGGGAACATAACACTCCGGGGCCTGTAGGGGGGTTGGGGGTAGGGGAGGGACAGCATTAGGAGAAATACCTAATGTAGATGACAGGTTGATGGGTGCAGCAAACCACCATGGCATGTGTATACCTACGAAACAAAACTGCACGTTCTGCACATGTACCCGAAAACTTAAAATATAATGAAAAAATAGATTGTTCAAGTAAATGTGCTGTAATTTTGTCTTTTGACTGAAGGAAAAACCTGACATATATCCTGACGATGTTGACAAAAGCCATAGGTCATGAGGGGCAAAATGACATAATTGTTGCTTATTTAAATTAGCTCATTTTTTAACTTTAACTTTTATTTTAAGTTCAGGGGCACATGTTCAGGTTTGTTATATAGATAAGCTTGTGCCATGGGGGTTTGTTGTACAGATTATTTTGTCACCCAGGTATTAAGCCTAGTAACCATTTGTTGTTTTTCCTGATCTTCTCCCTCCTCCCATCTTCCACCCTCTAGTAAGCCCCAGTGTGTGTTTTTCCCCTCTATGTGTCCATATGTTCTCATCATTTAGCTCCCACTTATAAGTGAGAACGTGCAGTGTTTTGTTTTTGGCTCCTGCATTAGTTTGCTAAGAATAATGGCTACCAGCTCCATCCATGTTCCTGGAAAGGATATGATCTCATTTTTTTTACGGCTGCATAGTATTCTATGGTGTATATGTACCACAAACTTAAGACATAGAGTAAAAGGAAGACAAGCCAACTTGAGGACTCAGGTCTTTGGGAACTAATTGTCGGTTTGCGTGGCACTGTCTCCGTTTACTTCAGTAGAGGATTTCTATGAAATATCATGAGCTTGGTTACCTCTTTTAGCATTTGGAAAATAATAAAGATGTATTATCACATTCTTTCATCCCCCTTTTAGTGGCCCAGAGCAAGATATCATGGAATTAAGGAATTCTATAAACTCATCTTCACAGTCTCTTTAGTGCAAAATAACATTGCCAGGACAAATGAGGATGCAAACAAGGAAGATTTAAAAGTGACAACACCTTTTGGTCAGAGAAGCCAGCATCTTAACAACCCAAGGCAGACAACAAGTGTTTAATGAAAGTTACAGAAATAGATGCAGGAAACAGACAGAGAGGGTGAGGAAGCAGCGCGGCGGAAAGTGGGATTTAGGACACAATGGGGAAGCCCTGGTGGAAGTTTCCAGCACATACACACCTGCTTAGGAGTCTGGGAGGCACTGGCGTGTGTCAGAGACAGGGGGAAGAAGCACATAAATAAGTGAAAATGAGAGCAGATTGGAAAAAGGCAGAGAGAGACTTTAACTCTACTACCCACTCAATTTGCCACAATTTCAGGAGTTCATGGTAATATCTAATACATAGAAATGTCAAAACGAAAGTAGAGATAGAAATAGAAATATGAAAAAAAGAAATAATATAAATTTTAAAAAATGAAACTGAAGATCCTATTTATTTTATTTTACTTTCTGGTGGCCAGAATTAAAACCAGGTGCAAAAATAACCAGTAGATTCTAGATCATGTTGGCATATTTTACACTCAGTGTATCATGTCGCCCCTATAATGTGAAAAACAGTTCAGGCAACAGGACACTGGAAAGGGGATCTAGAAGGTCATGAATCTCTATTTCTAAAGAACACTGCCCCAGGCAGCTTTACACCTCGCTCTGTGTTTTCTCCTCTTACAGTGAACTTAGCTGACCCTTGTCCTATCATGGAATATATATCTTTACTCGAATTATTTTAGAAAGTTTACAATAAGTTGAAATAATAACAATGATAGCCATGGAGGCTGCCAGGGCACCTAGTCAAAAACTACAATCATCTGGAGCTAGGAGGAGCCAAAGGGTGTGTTTGTTTTGGCTCAGGATCCAGCTGCAGGCTGCCTGAGTTTGCCAGCTACATTTCTGTCAACAGAGAGAAACTATTATAACAAAATCCATGTTGATCAGGAAGTGTGACCACAGTGAGGGACGCTGAGGAAGTGCTGTTTTTATAATGCATTCTGAAAATGTGTCCTGAGCCTGTTAGTGGCAATAGGAAAATTCCCCCTCTATCAATGCATTCACCTGCAAACCCCACAGGGGCAGAGACCGGGAAGATCTGCCTGTACAATAGGTTCTGCTGCGGGCTAAACTGATTATCCTCAGAGCTCTTTTAGAGTCTGGGTGTGGTTATCACTCCTTTTTTCCTACCTTCTTAGTTCTCTCTCTTATGTTTTAAGTCCTTTATTGCTGACTTACATTTCCCCTTTTCAATTCTCTCATTGGACTGTCCCTTGGTTTGAGGCTAGATGTGCAAAAATCCTTGTGTGTGAATATACTGATAAAGCTAAAGGAAGCGGGTCTCTCCCTGAGCCCTGTCAACCTTCCTCCTGCTTCTGGGACATTCCTTGACATCAGATTTTCCAGGCCCCTGGCCACCACAAATGCATGACCGCCTCACCTCCCACTTCCACTGCCACCCATGCCACTCTGGCCTGGGGAAGTCCCAGGGCAGGACCAAAAAGACGAGGTTGCCCTTGCTCTGGAGTTCATCCTGACATCAAAAGTCACGTCCACACAGGGTCAGCCTTGCTTTGACAACGTATACCCAGCACCATTTCAAATACTTTTCATGGGTTCTACTATCATCCTTCAACAACCCTGTGCTGTTGGTTATGTGATCTCTTTTACAGATGCAGAAACTGAAGCTCACAGTCTCTATACGACTTGCTCACATTTACATGGCCAATATTTGGCAGAGGTGGGATTTTGGTCTTTGAATCACATTCTGGCAGTGTAGGCATGTCTGTTCTTTAAAGCAGAGCTTCTCATACTTCATGATGCTCAGGAATCACCTAAGGACCTTGTTAAAATGCAGACTCTAATTCAATAGGCCTAAGTGAGGCCCCAGAATTTACATTTGTAACATGCTTCTAAGCAGTGGCCGTGTAGGCCTAGAGCCACACTTTGGATACCAAAGCTTTCAAGAAGCTTTACAAATTAAGCCCTAAGATGAGTAACCTGTGGGTGAGAAATGCTTATTAATTATTTGGGAAACTTTAGTATAAGTATATAGATGCAAAGACTACCGTGGGTTCTTTGGGAAAGTTTGTCACTCGCAGAAGTTTCACTGCGTGAGGCCACAGAAGGATGATATTTCTTTCTGGTTGTCTTGATACCAAAACTTGGTTCTGAGACAAAGACTGGAGCAGGGACCTAATAGTAGTTGTCTTACCAAAAAAAAACCCATCCTCATTAGCAGCCAATCCCTATTGCCTCCCTCCCCACAGCCTCTGCCAACCATTTATCTACTTTCTGTCTCTAGATTTGTCTATTCTGAACATTTCATACTAATGGAATCATACAATATGTATCCTTTTGTGCCTGGCTTCTTTTACTTTGCATAATGTATTCAAGGTTCATTCATGTTGTAGCATGTATCAGTACTTCATTCCTTTTCATCGCTGAGTAATATTTCATTGTATGAACATATTACATTTTGTTTATCTACTCAACAATCCTGCCACTCAAGAAGGATCGAAAAGAAAAGTTAAGAAATGTTGAAATAATGTGGATTGTTGTAATATTAAGTCAATAGACAGTTACCTACAAGAGGAAACAGAAACACTGGATTTGTTTGTTTGCAAAGAAGCAAGTGAACCTTAGCCATAAAGCATCCATTTAAAAGCGAGATATCTGGAGTCAGATTCCCTAGATTCAATTCACCAGTAATCAACTTGTTAAGTTGAAGAAACACTTAACTTTTCTTTGCTTCCGTTTTCTCATCTACAAATGGGGATGAAAACAGTACCATGTTTGCCTTGAGAATTATCATTAGAATTAATAAGGTAACATATTTAAAACACCTAAAACATACTAGTATTTTAACAACTTTAACAGGTCCCAAATGTGTCAAAGCACCAAAGGTCCAAATGGAAAAAAGAATCAATTGCACTCACTTTATTTTAACTGGATACTTTAACATCTGTCATTTTTATTATTATGAGATTTACTCACTTTGCTGTGAATGAATGCCTCATCCTGGTCAAAGAAAATTAGAATCAAAATGGCCGTTTCATACAAAGAGAGTCTGATTTAATGTTGAGTGGTGCTTTTGCTACTTCTAATTCACACACAAATAAACTAGAATTTCTCTCTTAGTTCAAGCAATAGGGGAACAAAGCAAAATCCTTCCTATACAAACAGAACCAGCTCATACTATAGTAAAAGCTAACAGCATCAAAAGCTACCAAGACTATACTGTACAGAAACCTTGCCTAAAATATTTTAGGTAGCATAATATTTTCATCTTATCTCTTTTCTTGTTCTCTCATCCTGACTCATCCCTCACTTCCTATATTTAGCAGAAGGTTAGGCCCTTTTAAGAGAAATACTATAAAGAACTCTCTGTGCATGTGGTAAGAATAAATGTCCAGAATCAAGAAAAGCCTAGGAAATGTGAACATTTATTTTCTTCATGGAAATACAAAATACCAAGTAGATGCAAAAACATCCATTTACTCAATTTTCTTCTTTTTTTTTTTTACTGGGGGAAAAAAAAAAACACTAAGAAAAATGTATGTGGTTTCTACAGAAAAATGTTTGCTATAAGGAAAATCTCTAAACTGAAAAAAGGCAAGATAAAAGCAATTTATTGTCATGCTGTCCAACATTACTATATGAGATTACTTCAGTGATGAAAGATGTTGTCATAATTCATGCAGCCAAGTAAGCCGAATCAAGTAAGCTGAATTCAAGTATGTTAGTTTTCCATTCCTTCTCTTTAAACAGAGTCTTGTCAGTCTTGAAGCCTCGAGGGATGTACAAAATGTAATTACCAAGGTTTATGATAAGGAGTGAACCAAACTAATAGAGACAAATGTTTAAATGCCAGCTTCAAAGTTTTTCCCTAAAACATTTCTTCTGCACCCCAATCTTAGTTGACAATGAGGAAAATGTCAAAGTTGCTATGTCCTGATTTCAACTGGGATTTTCTATCAGATTTAACGTTATAGTAGAGAAACATTAATGAAAACAAAATTATTGCAGGGAGTTGACAGGTGTATTAGTAATCAATGCTACTGAAGTTCATAAAGAGGTGCCTTTAATATGAGTTTCACTGAATTTATCAAGGATTTGCACTGGGCTGTTCCAGTCTTGAATTGAGAACAGGACTGGCTTAGCAGGCAAAATGGAGAGCAATGTTTTCTCCATCTCCATTTGATCTATGGCTTGTGGCTGAAGCTGCCAACTGGCACACGTCTGATAGCCGTCAGCAGCAAGCATGGCATCTGTGTGTTGGCCAGTTGGAAGCTGACATAATATGCCAGGGTATTTCATTGCAACTAGGTCAATAAATTTGCTCACAGTCAACAATGGTTTAATCGGAATCACTGAGTCAATTATTAAAAGTTCTAGTTTATAAGAATTTCATATCTTAGAAGGCTTAGTTGCACACATTTATAATTTTTCTATCTTCTAGTTTGGAAGGCAAAGAGAAAATAGAAATAGAAAAGTCAGAGGAATCCACTGGGGGTGAAGCATAGCAAATATTCTTCTTTGCACTCAGTGCTCACTAGAGCGTCATGGGTTTTCGGTTTCAAGCTCAATTTAACTGAGCCTTTTGGGCTCCGAGTTTCATTTATTCCAGGCCAAACAAAACTTCCTCATGGCAAAAAAAGGAAAAAGAAAAATAAATGGTAATATCAGATTGAAGAGAGAAATTCCACACAAAGATCAAAGAATGTTAAGAAGGCTCTAATATATCAATGTCTTCGTGCAACATGTCAATATAAAACATATTGGGTTGATTAGAATTGAAAATGGATTTCTAGAGCTCTTTGGCCTAAAAGCATTCTATCAAGCCTATAATAGGACCCCTCCACATTACAATTACCAACTCTTCTCTATACTCATTTCCCTCTAATTCTCTTCATACTACTAATCTCTGAACATCTGCTAGCTCCTAAACAATGCCAGTCTCAGGCATCATTTATTAATCTCTAATACTTATCCAGGAACAGGAGCACTTGCCAATTTGAACTCTCAAAATAAAAATTACTAAGGTATCCCCAAGGAAGGGGGATAAATAGAATGAGGCTATAATCAAGCCATAATGACTCCCAAGGTTTACTGCAGATTAAAATCCAAACGCAGGTGACTGAAGGCAAAGAAGCAAATACAATGAGTGCAGTTCTTTGCTGCCTGTTTACACAAAGCTCCCATTGACTTTCCTGAATAGCTCCAAAAAGGGCCCAAGGTGTAACGTGTTTGTCGGTATGGTTGGTATGCACTGGCCGCCCTTTCCTAAGCACACAGTCAAACACATTCAAGTGTTTGTGACATGGCCCTCTTTAGTAGTTGACTTGATTTTTAGGTGAACAAGGAATCAAAAAGCATTTGGAGAATAAAGAGTAAGCCCTAATCATGAGTGGGCTTGCTTCTTAATGGTAAGCAAAGTATCCTAAGATTCTGGATGTACAGCTTGTGTTTCTTCCAGAGCCTCCTCTCATTCACCCATGCTATCATCGTGGTCCCCTACCCAGTTCAACAAAAATAATGAGACAGCTGGGCAAGAAGCACAGAATTTTCTTAAGTTCAAACGGTATGCACTGCATGTCTGAATCAAAAGGTCCTAGAGCTTGGGCAACAGGCCACATCTTGCCAGCGTTAATTGGCTAATAGGGACTTGATTGTTACCAGCTATCAATGCTTTACACAGAACACACAATACTCCCTTCAGGTACAAGATTAAAAAGACCACAGGAATAAAAAGTAACCTGGAAGCTTAGAATGAATTTCAATAAAAAGAGAAGCCAGCTTCACTGTGAAGGATAAACAAAGGAACAAGGGTGAATAAGAAAAACACTGGATGGTAAATCCACACGCATAATTACATTCAGGAAAATCGTATGAAGAAAGAAAAACTGGAATGAAGGAAATAATAGGAAAAAAAAGGGACTTTCTGAAGCCTAAAGAAAATACTAAGAGTCTGCCTTTTCAGAGGCTTTTTAATTATTAATTTTTTTACCTTTGGGAAATCATGTGGAAAAGGCATAACTACAAATCCTGCAAGTAAAGATATGTTGGTAACAATTCTGTCAAATGCAAATTATACCGACAATAAATATTCTTATTTTTCATTCTTATTATCCAATCGCTCTTCCATTCTTGACCTGCTAAAAACATAGAAATATTCTTTTTCATTTTTTTCAGATACCAGAACCATTTGATGATGTGTATTTTATAATGTTTTCTGTAGAAAATATTCAGTAAAACTTTTAAAATTGCTGCAAGATGATTATGTAAATTAAGAAAAGGAATCTATCAGGGAGAAGGGGCAACAATGATATAAGATCCAAGACTATTCACTTTCTGAATTTATAATTTTACTGGAATAACATAAAAAGATTCTACAATATCTCTAATCTCCAGGGTAAAAGCGACATCAGCCATTAACCTTGAGATTGAAGATGTATTGCATGGATCTCATGCAGCAAGTCTTCCAGTCCACCTAACTTCCATTTTAGCCCATTGTAGAAGAACACTCATGATGTCTTTTGATCACTATCAACAGAACGACTTATAAGTCAGTGTTTCTCAAAGTGTGGTTACTGGGCCTGCAGCATCACCTGGGAACTTGTTACAAATACGGACTCTCATACACATCCCTTCCCTCCTCAAGCTGAATCAAACTAGATTCCAGAGCTGGAGCCCAGCAATCTACGTTTACCAAGCACAGTGATTCTACATGATTCTCACGTGTGCCCAACTTTGAGCACCATTGATTTAAGCACAGAACATGAGAACTCCACAATCTAAGGAATATGAAGACAGAAAAAGGGGAAACAAAACCACTTTAATTCAGAAAAATGGAAAGATAAAATGAGGTAATAAAGGACAATATGAAAGAGAACAGAAAGAGATTTCTATTATAGAAAAAAAAGAACAAAAGACCAAATCCGATGTTTTTCCTTTCATGACCACTGTACCTTGGGTTATTTAACGAGTTTTGTATTCTGTCATTGTTTCTTAGACACCAAATAATATATTTTTTTCTCTGTTAAGACAACTCGAATAAAATAAATATAAATATTTTATTTTATAAATATAAATATATAAATTTAATATATTTATAATTTTAATATATTTATGAATTTAATATACTATAATTATATTATAAATTTAATATATTATAATTATAATATATTATAGATATAATATATTTATATATATAAATATATTTATAAATTATAATATATTTTAAAATAAAATTTTACAATATTGAGATTTAAAATTACAATAACCAGAAATTTTATTTTAAAATCACTGATTGTTAATAAGAACCCCTGTTATTTGATTGCATCTAAGCAGTTTAAAATAATGCATACTTCCTGTGTTCTTAGAGGAAAAAAAAATCTCTGTGTGTGTGTGTATATGTATATATGTGTGTGTGTGTATATATATATATATATATATATACACTTGTGTGTGTCTGTGTGTGTGTCTGTGTGTGTGTGTGTGTGTGTATGTGTATCAAGGACCCTTCAGCCTAGTAAGGTGGATTAAAAATAACCTAACGAAGTCTCAGGAGCCGATGCGATCAACTGGAAGAAAGGGTATCAGTGATGGAGGATGCAATGAATGAAATGAAGCGAGAAGGGAAGTTTAGAGAAAAAAGAATAAAAAGAAACGAACAAAGCCTCCAAGAAATATGGGACTATGTGAAAAGACCAAATCTACATCTGATTGGTGTACCTGAAAGTGATGCGGAGAATGGAACCAAGTTGGAAAACACTCTGCAGGATATTATCCAGGAGAACTTCCCCAATCTAGCAAGGCAGGCCAACATTCAGATTCAGGAAATACAGAGAACGCCACAAAGATACTCCTCGAGAAGAGCAACTCCAAGACACATAATTGTCAGATTCACCAAAGTTGAAATGAAGGAAAAAATGTTAAGGGCAGCCAGAGAGAAAGGTCGAGTTACCCACAAGGGGAAGCCCATCAGACTAACAGCGGATCTCTCGGCAGAAACTCTACAAGCCAGAAGAAAGTGGGGGCCAATATTCAACATTCTTAAAGAAAAGAATTTTCAACCCAGAATTTCATATCCAGCTAAACTAAGCTTCATAAGTGACGGAGAAATAAAATACTTTACAGACAAGCAAATGCTGAGAGATTTTGTCACCACCAGGCCTGCCCTAATAGAGCTCCTGAAGGAAGCACTAAACATGGAAAGGAACAACCGGTACCAGCCGCTGCAAAATCATGCCAAAATGTAAAGACCATTGAGACTAGGAAGAAACTGCATCAACTAACGAGCAAAATAACCAGCTAACATCATAATGACAGGATCAAATTCACACATAACAATATTAACTTTAAATGTAAATGGACTAAATGCTCCAATTAAAAGACACAGACTGGCAAATTGGATAAAGAGTCAACACCCATCAGTGTGTTGTATTCAGGAAACCCATCTCACATGCAGAGACACACATAGGCTCAAAATAAAAGGATGAAGGAAGATCTACCAAGCAAATGGAAAACAAAAAAAGGCAGGGGTTGCGATCCTAGTCTCTGATAAAACAGACTTTAAATCAACAAAGATCAAAAGAGACAAAGAAGGCCATTACATAATGGTAAAGGGATCAATTCAACAAGAAGAGCTAACTATCCTAAATATATAAGCACCCAATACAGGAGCACCCAGATTCATAAAGCAAGTCCTGAGTGACTTACAAAGAGACTTAGACTCCCACACATTAATAATGGGAGACTTTAACACCCCACTGTCAACATTAGACAGATCAACGAGACAGAAAGTCAACAAGGATACCCAGGAATTGAACTCACCTCTGCAACAAGCGGACCTAATAGACATCTACAGAACTCTCCACCCCAAATCAACAGAATATACATTTTTTTCAGCACCACACCACACCTATTCCAAAATTGACCACATACTTGGAAGTAAAGCTCTCCTCAGCAAATGTAAAAGAACAGAAATTATAACAAACTATCTCTCAGACAACAGTGCAATCAAACTAGAACTCAGGATTAAGAAACTCACTCAAAACCGCTCAACTACATGGCAACTGAACAACCTGCTCCTGAATGAGTACTGGGTACATAACGAAATGAAGGCAGAAATAAAGATGTTCTTTGAAACCAACGAGAACAAAGACACAACATACCAGAATCTCTGGGACGCATTCAAAGCAGTGTGTAGAGGGAAATTTATAGCACTAAATGCCCACAAGAGAAAGCAGGAAAGATCCAAAATTGACACCCTAACATCACAATTAAAAGAACTAGAAAAGCAAGAGCAAACACATTCAAAAGCTAGCAGAAGGCAAGAAATAACTAAAATCAGAGCAGAACTGAAGGAAATAGAGACACAAAAAACCCTTCAAAAAATCAATGAATCCAGGAGCTGGTTTTTTGAAAGGATCAACAAAATTGATAGACAGCTAGCAAGACTAATAAAGAAAAAAAGAGAGAAGAATCAAATAGATGCAATAAAAAATGATAAAGGGGATATCACCACCGATCCCACAGAAATACAAACTACCATCAGAGAATACTACAAACACCTCTACGCAAATAAACTAGAAAATCTAGAAGAAATGGATAAATTCCTGGACACGTACACTCTCCCAAGACTAAACCAGGAAGAAGTTGAATCTCTGAATAGACCAATAACAGGGGCTGAAATTGTGGCAATAATCAATAGCTTACCAACCAAAAAGAGTCCAGGACCAGATGGATTCACAGCCGAATTCTACCAGAGGTACAAGGAGGAACTGGTACCATTCCTTCTGAAACTATTCCAATCAATAGAAAAAGAGGGAATCCTCCTTAACTCATTTTATGAGGCCAGCATCATCCTGATACCAAAGCTGGGCAGAGACGCAACCAAAAAAGAGAATTTTATACCAATATCCTTGATGAACATTGATGCAAAAATCCTCAATAAAATACTGGCAAAACGAATCCAGCAGCACATCAAAAAGCTTATCCGCCGTGATCAAGTGGGCTTCATCCCTGGGATGCAAGGCTGGTTCAATATACGCAAATCAATAAATGTAATCCAGCATATAAACAGAACCAAAGACAAAAACCACATGATTATCTCAATAGATGCAGAAAAGGCCTTTGACAAAATTCAACAACCCTTCATGCTAAAAACTCTCAATAAATTAGGTATTGATGGGACGTATCTCAAAATAATAAGAGCTGTCTATGACAAACCCACAGCCAATATCATACTGAATGGGCAAAAACTGGAAGCATTCCCTTTGAAAACTGGCACAAGACAGGGATGCCCTCTCTCACCACTCCTATTCAACATAGTGTTGGAAGTTCTGGCCAGGGCAATTAGGCAGAAGAAGGAAATAAAGGGTATTCAATTAGGAAAAGAGGAAGTCAAATTGTCCCTGTTTGCAGACGACATGATTGTATATCTAGAAAACCCCATTGTCTCAGCCCAAAATCTCCTTAAGCTGATAAGCAACTTCAGCAAAGTCTCAGGATACAAAATCAATGTACAAAAATCACAAGCATTCTTATACACCAATAACAGACAAACAGAGAGCCAAATCATGAGTGAACTCCCATTCACAATTGCTTCAAAGAGAATAAAATACCTAGGAATCCAACTTATAAGGGACATGAAGGACCTCTTCATGGAGAACTACAAACCACTGCTCAAGGAAATAAAAGAGGATACAAACAAATGGAAAAACATTCCATGCTCATGGGTAGGAAGAATCAATATCATGAAAATGGCCATACTGCCCAAGGTAATTTACAGATTCAATGCCATCCCCACCAAGCTACCAATGACTTTCTTCACAGAATTGGAAAAAACTACTTTAAAGTTCATATGGAACCAAAAAAGAGCCCACATCACCAAGTCAATCCTAAGTCAAAAGAACAAAGCTGGAGACATCACGCTACCTGACTTCAAACTATATTACAAGGCTACAGTAACCAAAACAGCATAGTACTGGTACCAAAACAGAGATATAGATCAATGGAACAGAACAGAGCCCTCAGAAATAACACCGCATATCTACAACTATCTGATCTTTGACAAACTTGACAAAAACAAGCAATGGGGAAAGGATTCCCTATTTAATAAATGGTGCTGGGAAAACTGGCTAGCCATATGTAGAAAGCTGAAACTGGATCCCTTCCTTACACCTTAAACAAAAATCAATTCAAGATGGATTAAAGACTTAAACGTTAGACCTAAAACCATAAAAACCCTAGAAGAAAACCTAGGCATTACCATTCAGGACATAGGCACGGGCAAGAGCTTCATGTCTAAAACACCAAAAGCAATGGCAACAAAAGCCAAAATTGACAAATGGGATCTAATTAAACTAAAGAGCTTCTGCACAGCAAAAGAAACTACCATCAGAGTGAACAGGCAACCCACAAAATGGGAGAAAATTTTCACAACCTACTCATCTGACAAAGGGCTAATATCCAGAATCTACAATGAACTCAAACAAATTTACAAGAAAAAAACAAACAACCCCATCAGAAAGTGGGCGAAGGACATGAACAGACACTTCTCAAAAGAAGACATTTATGCAGCCAAAAAACACATGAAAAAATGCTCACCATCACTGGCCATCAGAGAAATGCAAATCAAAACCACAATGAGATACCATCTCACACCAGTTAGAATGGCGATCATTAAAAAGTCAGGAAACAACAGGTGCTGGAGAGGATGTGGAGAAACAGGAACACTTTTACACTGTTGGTGGGACTGTAAACTAGTTCAACCATTGTGGAAGTCAGTGTGGCGATTCCTCAGGGATCTAGAACTAGAAATACCATTTGACCCAGCCATCCCATTACTGGGTATATACCCAAAGGCCTATAAATCATGCTGCTATAAAGACACATGCACACTTATGTTTATTGCGGCACTATTCACAATAGCAAAGACTTGGAACCAACCCAAATGTCCAACAATGATAGACTGGATTAAGAAAATATGGCACATATACACCATGGAATACTATATGCAGCCATAAAAAATGATGAGTTCATGTCCTTTGTAGGGACATGGATGAAATTGGAAATCATCATTCTTAGTAAACTATCGCAAGAACAAAAAACCAAACACCGCATATTCTCACTCATAGGTGGGAATTGAACAATGAGAACACATGGACACAGGAAGGGGAACATCACACTCTGGGGACTGTTGCGGGGTGGGGGGAGAGGGGAGGGCTAGCATTGGGAGACATACCTAATGCTACATGGTGAGTTAGTGGGTGCAGCGCACCAGCATGTCACATGTATACATATGTCACTAACCTGCACATTGTGCACATGTACCCTGAAACTTAAAGTATAAAAAAAAAAAAAAAAAAAAACAGAAAAAAAAAACCTAAAGAGACATGAGTTTTCTCTACTGTTACAGCTTTAAAAATGCTAGAAAGCTTTTCTCCAGGCTTACTACTTGTTTTCTCGAGAAGCAGAACAACAGGCAGAGGTAGGTCACCATGCATTTTACCTGAAAACCTAGCACTTAAAAGCCATCCTGTCAGATGCAATGCTGCCACCAGAGCAACTAACTCCCATTATCAACAGTGGCAGCTGCAGTTCACACAGAGGCCCAGGGTCCCCAGACAGTCCACTATGCCTCGTTGCCACTGGGTTCCTGGTTTAGGTATTGCCCAGCCGTCCCTTCATTCTTTATTCAACAGATAATTTACAGAGCACTTCTCTGCTTAATTCAAATATTCTATGGCTCATTAAGCATACACATAGAAAAAAGATATGGTAAGCAAGACGCAAATATGTCTTGTCTTGTGATGAGGCTCACCGTTCACACCATTGTCTATTTCACTACCTTCCTCTCACCAGAGAGGAAATCACTTTGTGGTGCAGTCCTGATTTTTTGGCTTTGAAGTATAGCCTAGCAAAAGTTGAAAAAGCTACATGGCCTGAAGTCCAGAAGGGCAGTCAACATACGGTACAATATTTAGAAGGCCTTCAGGTTTCCCACTTGGCTGTCACTACCACCGATAAGCCTGTTATCCCACAAATCTGGTAACAACAGTCCTCCTGCATGGCCCCATATTAGACACTTCTGGATGCTGTGCTACATTGGTTCCATTGTCTTTCTCCTCAATTGAACTGTAAGCTTCTTCATTGCCAAGTCGTGTTGACCATGTTCCATTTACCAGTGGCCCCAGTCATCAGAGTCTCAGTCATATAACTAGTTAAGTGAATAAGTGAGTGAATAAATAAGTGTATAGTAAGCTACACTGTGGTTGAAAAAACTCTTTTTTAAAATTAGATAAATTGAGGCATAATTTGCTTATAACAAAACTCACCCAATTTAAATATATCATTTGATTAGTTTGGGCAAGTATATACAGTCCTATAACTACCACCATACTCATGATATGGAAACATTTTATTACCCATATCTTTGTCATCAACCCACTACATCCACCCTCACACCCAGGAAACCATTCAGGTACTTTTTGTCACTATAATTTTTCCTTTTCTAGAATGTCATATAAATGAAATCATACAGAAAATAATTAGCCTTTTATGTCTCACTTCTTTCACTTAGCGTAATGCTTTTGAGATTTACCCAAGTTATTGGGTCTGTCAGCAATTTGTTCCTTTTAATTCCTGAGTAATATTCCTTTATTAAAATGTACCATAGTCTGTTATCTATTTACCTGTTAATTTTGTTTATTCAATCATCTGCCAACCCATTTGAATTTTTGGGGTTTTTGCTATTATGAATAAAGCTGCTATGAACATTCTCATATAAATTTTGTATATTTTCATTTCTCTTGGGAAAATACATAGGAATGGAATGGTTGAGTCATATAATAGTTATATATTTAACTTGATGGTAAACTTCCAAACTATTTTCCTAAATGGGGCTATAGCACTTGACGTTGCCAACAGCAATGTATGATAGTTCCAGTTGCCCCATAGCCACATCAGCTCTTGGTAATGTCAGTCTTTTTAATTGTAACTGTTCCAGAGTATGAGTAGAGGCATCTCATTGCAGTTTTAGTTGATAATTTATATTGATTACTTTTTTTAAAATGTCAAACCAACTTGACTTTACTGGGAATAGCTCCAAGTGGTCATAAGGTATTATCCTTTCAACATATTGCTGGGTTTGATTTGCTGTTTCGTGAAAGGTTTTGTAGTTATGAAAATGAAATTTATTGGTTTGCAATTTTCCTTTTTTTGAGGAATACATAAATATATAAGTAATGTATTTGTATCAGGGTGATACTGGCTTAATAAAATGAAAGTATTGTGTGTCAATTTTCTTGAGAAGTTTATATAGTATTGGGTGTTATATCTTTCTTAAATGTTTATTTGATCTCAGCAGTTAAAGCCAACTGTGCCTGGATTTTCTTTGTGAGAATTTTAATTATAAATCCAATTATAAAATCTATTCATGTCATCTATTTCTAGGTAAGCTTTGTGTCTATTTTTGTTCTTTCAAGGAATTTGTCTATTTCATCACACTTGTGAAAATTGGCAAAAACTTATTTAGAACACTTCCTTATCCATTTATGATTTTTAGGATCTGTATTTATGTTCTCTCCTTCATTTTCGGTAATAGGTATTTTTTCCTATATTAATCTGGCTCAAGGTGTAGCAATTTTATTAATCTCTGTAAAGAATCATATTGAACTTTCTTCGACCTTGTTATTTTGCCATTTCTATTTCATTGATTTCTATACTCTTTTTTATTATTTTCTTCCTATTGCTTATGTTGAGCCAAATTTGATCAAGGCAGAAACATAAATCATTGATTTTAGACCATTTTCTTTTTTTATATGAGCATTTAATACTATTAATTTCTCCCCTAAGCACCGCCTTAGCTTCATTCAATGAATTATGACATGATGTATTTTTGTTTTAATGCAAATTATTTTGTCATGTTTTCATTGACCCATGGGATATGTAGAAATACGTTTTTTCCAAATATTTGGGAATTTTTGCAGTTGTCCTCTTGCTATTTGTTTCTAATTTAATTCTATTGTGGTTAGTAATATATTTATATTATTTAAATCTTATTGATGTATTGAATTTTGTTAAATCCTCAGAAAATGGTCTATTTGATGAAAATTCCATGTGTGCTTTAAAAATGTTTGTATTATGCTGTTTTGCAGTGGAGTAATCTGTAAACATCAATAGATCAAATTGTCGATAATGTTGCCCAACTATTCTGTATTCTTATTAATTTTTTATCTAGTTGGTCTATCAATTACTGAAAAAAAAGTGTTGACATCATCTATTCTAAAATTTAATTTATCTATTCTTTTATTTCTTTCAACTATGTCATGTACTTTGAAACTCTGCCTACACTTTTAGGATTACTGTGTCTTCTTGATGACTTCTTTATTATTAGAAAATGACCCTCTTCATCACTGGTAATTGTTTATTCTAAAATCTATTTCATCTAGTGTTAATATATACACTCCAGATTACTTTTAATTAGTGTTTGGATAGTCTATTTCTGCCCATCCTTTTACTTTTAACCCTTTTATATTTATGTTTAAAGTGGGTTTGTTATAGACTGCATATAGTAGGAACTTCTTTGCTTTTATTTCCCTAGAAAATTTCTGTCTTTAATTGCCATTTTCAACCATTTATATGCAATGTAATTTTCAGTACGGTTTAGTAAATCTACCATTTTGCTATTTGTTTTCAATGTTTTTTCCTCTATTCTTTCATTTTCTATCTCCTTTTGGATTAATGGGGCCTATTTTATTATCATTATTATTATTATCATTATTTTATCCCATATTACCTCCTCTTTTGCTTATTAAATCTATTGAGAGGTTGCTTTATATATATTTATAATATGCATCTTTATCTTTTCATAATCTATCTTCAAATATTACACTACTAACATATAGTATAAGACTCTTATAATAACATGCACTATTTTTGCCCTACCCTGCTTTATGTTATAGATCTCACTATATTCTGTTATTGGTTTTGCTCTAGACCATTATTTTTTGAAGAAATTTACAAATGAGAAAATATCTTTTATACTCACCAACGTATTTATCATTCCTGACAAACTTTATTTCTTTGTGTAGAAAAAGTCACTTTACAAAGGCATTTTTACTGGATATTGAATATTAATTTGACATTTTTGTATTTTTTTGATTTCAATATCTCAAAAGATGTCATTTCGTTTTCTTGGAGCTTGCATAGGTTCTCATAGAGGTCCGCTGTAATTTTTATCTTTTTCTCTCCATACATAAAGTGATTTATTTCAGCTAGTTTTAAGATTTTACACCTATTACTTGTTCTCTGCAAGTTAATTATGATGTGCATTTGTCTACGTTTTTGAAAATATTTACTCTGCTTTGGATTTATTGAGTTTCTGGAATATGGGATTTTATTATTTTTATCAATTTGAAAAATTTTATTATTTCTTCAAATATTGTTTAACCTAATTGGAGTCTAAGACTCCAATTAAATGTATGTTATATCACTGGATATTGGCAATAGGTCATTGATGACTTATTCTTCAGTTTTTTTCATGCTTTGATTTTTTTTCTGTTTTCCTATTTATGCCTTCAATTTCACTGCTTTTTATTTTTCTTACATATACAAGCTACTATTATTTTTACCTACATTTTTTATTTCAGATATTGCATTTTTTCATCATTAGAAGTTACATTTTCATTATTTTTATCTCATCTCTCTGCTCATCATGTTTGTATTTTTCTAACTTCATGTGCATATGAATTAGATTTATAGTAGATGTTTTAATGTCCTTGTGTCTTAATTTCTTCATTTATGTCATTTATTGATCTGTTTTCATTGACAGATTCCCTCCTGGTTATGGATTATATTTTCTACTTCTTCAAATATCTAGTGACTTCTTTTTGTTGTTGTTGTTGTTTGAGACAAAGTCTTGCTCTGTCACCCAGGCTGGAATGCAGTGCTCGATCTTGGCTCACTACAACCTCCACCTCCCAGACTCAAGCAATCCTACCACCTCAGCCTCCTGAGTAGCTGGGACTACAGGAACGCGCCACCACACCTGGCTAATTTTTGTATTTTTAATAGAGACGGGGTTTCTCCATGTTGGCCAGGCTGGTCTTGAACTCCTGACCTCAGGTGATCCACCCACCTTGGCCTCCCAAATTGCTGGGATTACAGGTGTGAGCCACTGCACCCAGCCGTGATTTCTTTATTGAAGACTATTCATTTAGATTTTTCTGGTTTTTGAATGATGGATCTCATTGTATTTCTTTAAAGACTTTTGTACTTTTTCTTGAAGGTAATTAATTGTGAGCTAGTTTGATCTATTTGTTATATGGTTTTAAACTCTTTTGGGGCATGCTTAGAGCAGTTTCATACTAGCCTAATTCAGCCCCACTTCTAAGTTGTGCCATTTTTAGGATAGCTAGTGAATGCCCAGTGATTCAATGAGGTCTCTTCATTTAGAGGGAACACAAAATATTCTTAGTCCTGTGTGAGCTCTGGGAATTTTGTCCCAAGTAATAGTCACTTCCTTGGAAGTTGTTCTTATCTGGTCTTGTATAGTTTCACCTTACGCATGTTGCAAACTGTTATTCAACCAACGGCTCAAGAAGACCCCTCTGCACATTTCTGGAGCTCCTTCTCTGTGTAATTCCCTCCTCTCGGTACTATATCACAGAAACTCTAGACTCCCTGACTTCCTGAGCTCCAATCTCTATCTCCTCAGCTCTGCAAGATGTTCAGATTATGTTTAGGTTCCCCTTCCCTGCACTGCAGGGAGTTTCTTCCAGGCAAAAAGGGCTGACCTTATTTGCATTCAGAAATTTTAGAAATATAAATATTTATATCTGCTGACAAAAAGAAGTTATCCTTTTCATCATAATAGATGCATGAATTCAACGACATCACAGGTGTTTTGTCAGGAGAGCAAGGGCATTAGGAAATGCAACTGATTTCCTAAAAACTGGTTTCTCAGTTTCCTGATAAATAACTCACAAATAAGTTTTAACTTGCTTGTAGAGGCACTAACACAGTAAATGAAAATAAAATATTATGAAGGCAGTCTTCTTGAAGTTTATAGAGCAGTGAGTATCAAATTAGTTCCACTGATGGAGTAACTGTGGACAGAGGGTTAAAAGACTTGTCAAAAGTCACATAGTCAGTGGCTTATTGGAGTCAGAAACAATCCCAGTCATTGATATTTACTAAGGGTTTATAATACTCACTGGTTATAATCCACACATGAAAAGTTTCTCAGAAAATGTTATTTTGCTGTTTGGCTTCCTATAGGCACCCCTTTTCATTAAAAAAGTCAGGATGATTATATCTTCTTGATAGCAATAATTCTCTATGCCTAGGAGTTCATCCTTTAGGGTATGACGCTGACATCGACTTTGGAATTATTAGTGTACCAATTACCTTAGTTTTCATTATAAAGTTTTAAAAAATGTAATCCCAGCACTTTGGGAGGCAAAGGTGGGCAGATCACAAGGTCAGGACTTCAAGACCAGCCTGGCCAACATGGTGAAACCACGTCTCTACTAAAGATACAAAAAATTAGCCAGATGTGGTGGCACGTGCCTGTAGTCCCAGCTACTCAGGAGGTTGAGGCAGGAGAATCGCTTGAACCTGGAAGGTGGAGGTTGCAGTGAGCCGATATCACGCCACTGCACTCCAGCCTGGGCAACAGGGTAAGACTGCGTCTCACAAAAAAAAAAAAAAAAAAAAAAAAAAAAAAAAGTTACCCAAATCTTCTTTTGTCTCAGAAGCATGTGACAAAGTGAAATGTTGACATTAATATCTGCATTTCACAGGTTTACCTCTGAGAATTGAATAATGGAGGATCTCAGACTACCACTGAGGAGTTTCCAAGTATCCTGAGAATCTTTAGATGTATGCCACAGGTGAGCATCAGAGTCAAGCTGGCCTCTGAGCATAGGACAGGAAATCAACCACCTTGCTCTCCAGCTTTCTGCCATTCATATCATCCCCTGTGCAGTTGGATAATAGCATCACCCCCTTCTCAAACTTGCTTCACACACACACACACACGGACACACAATTCCTCCTTGCACATCAACTGATGAAAATAGATGCCCTGGGAGGGGAGGAGGTCTCTGCATCCACTTAAATTGACCCTCCTGCAAATGCTTTTAATCAATGGTCGCAGGTCTGCCACTTTCACCCAGTACAGTCCTATAAGTGACAGAGTCTCCCCATGGAATTGATTCTCAAAAAGGTAAACATATTTTTTTAAACTCAACCCCCAACTCAAACCTCTTTCCTGGAGATTCTGATATGTCATTTCTTCTACTTCACTCCCCATCCCCAAAGTTGGGAACTGACGCTCTAAATGAATGCCATGGCGAAGGACTAAACATAAAATACTATATATTGCAGGGAAAAGCAATTACAACCTATCACTCATTCACTCTAATCTCATATATTTTTCTATTGTTAAGAATACAAATATAAAGTATTTAATGATTCAAGTACAATTTGAACTGAAAAAAATGATTCCATTCAGCTTTTGGTTTCAACGTTCCTCTATCTATCCTCCCAGCCATATTAATAAGCCCGATCAAATAAGCTTTGGGACGTATTAGGCAGAATTGTAAAGCAAGAGAATGTTTCTTTCAAAATTTCTCAAAGTAGTGTGGTAAAATGGAATATAAGCCATTATTAAAAGAACCAAGTGTAATTATTAATTAAAGGTAATGGAAAGCATTATCTTTTTAAAAACACAGAGAACAAATAAAATGTAAGCTGTGAAATAATAAATTTGAATCCAATAAAATTGCAATAAAAAAGAAGTGATCAAGTAAATACCAAAGATTTGAGTCATTAGAGAAATGCAAATCAAAACCACAATGAAATACCATCTCACACCAGTAAGAATGGCTATTATTAAAAAGTCTAAAAATAACAGATGTTGACGAGGTTACAGAGAAAACGGAATGCTTATAAACTGTTGGTGGGAGTGTAAACTAGTTCAGCTTTGTGGAAAGCGATGTGGCGATTTCTCAAAGAATTTAAAACAGAGCTGCCATTCGAGCCAGCAATTCCGTTAAATCCTTCTACCAAAAAGACACATGCACTCGTATGTTCATCACAGCACCATTCATAATAGCAAAGATAAAGACTCAACCTAGATGCCCAGATGACTCTGAATGCCATGGCTAAGGACTAAACATAATCCAGATGACTGGATAAAGAAAATGTGGCACCATGGCATATACACCATGCCATGCATGTACATTATGCAACCATAAAAATGAACAATGTCATGTCCTTTGCAGCAACATGGATGCAGCTGGAGGCCACTGTCTTAAGCAAATTAATGCAGGAACAGAAAACCAAATGCCGCATGTTCTCACTTATAAGTAGGAGCTAAACAGTAAGTACCCCTGGACACAAAGATGAAAACAATAGACACTGGGAACTACTAGACTGGGGAGAGTGGAAGTGGGGCGAGGGTCGAAAAGCTAACTATCAGATACTAATGCTGACTACCTGATGTGATGGGATTATTCATACACTAAACCTAAGCAACAGGCAATATATCAATGTAACAAACCTGTACAGGTACCCCCTTGTATAGTTTGGATATCTGTCCCCATCCAAATATCATATTGAAATGCAATCCCCAGTGCTGGAGGTGGGGCCTGGTGAGAAGTGTTTGGGTTATGGGGGCAGATTCTTCATGGCTTGGTGCTGTCCTCTTGATAATGTGTGAGTTCTCAGGGGATCTGGTTGTTTAAAAGTGTGTGACACCTCCCCCACACTTGTTCCCTGTCTCGCCATGTGAGACACCAACTTCTCTCTTTACCTTTGGCCATGATTGGCAGCTTCCTGAGGCCTCCCTAGAAGCCCAGTGGATGCCAGGACCATGTTTCCCGTATCGCCTGCAGAACTGTGAGCCAATTCAACCTCTTTTCCTTATAAATTATCCAGCCTCAAGCATTATTTTTTTTTTGAGATGGAGTCTCACCCTGTCACCCAGGCTACAGTACAGTGGAGTGATCTCGGCTCACTGCAACCTCCAACTCCCGAGTTCAAGCAATTCTCCTGCCTCAGCCTCCCAAGTAGCTGGGATTACATGCGCCCGCCATCACGCCTGGCTAGTTTTTGTATTTTTAGTAGAGGCAGGGTTTCACCATGTTGGCCAGGCTGGTCTCAAACTCCTGACCTTGTGATCCACTCACCTCGGCCTCCCAAAGTGCTGGGATTACAGGCGTGAGGTATTTCTTTATAGCAACACAAGAATGACCTAATACACCCCTAAACCTAAAATTTAAGAAAAAAAAATGGTATTCACACCCCTTAAAGGCAAGTCTTGAAGTGTCTTCCAGAGATGGTTTTTCAGAAGAAATTTAAATAATATTTTACCAGAAGACAGATGAGAAGATATGGTATGACCAAAACCACAGATAGAGATAGGTAAAACAGGTTTGAGGAAAGATTCAGTCAATTAGTTCATGCTACTGTTAGAATCATCTTCAAAAGTGTGGTAATAAATTGGCCCGTACTCATAATTTGGCACCAGAAGTTTATATTAAGCACTTAGGTTAATCAGTGGTAACGTTTTTAAAAGATGTAAGAATAAAGACACAGCTGTATAAACAAAACACACAAATGAAAATTTAGGCCAGGTGCAGTGGCTCACGCCTGTAATCCCAGCACTTTGGAAGGCTGAAGTGGGTGGATCGCATGAGTCCAGGAGTTTGAGACCAGCCAGAGCAAGGTGGAAAAACCCTGTCTCTATAAAAAAAAATACAGAAAAGTTAGCCAGGTGTGGTGCTGCACGCCTGTGGTACCTATGGTCCCTGTGGTCTCAGCTCACTGCAACCTCTGCCTCCCAGGCTCAGATGATCCTAGCTATTCAGGAGGCTGAGGTGGGAGGATCATCTGAGCCTGGGAGGTAGAGATCACATCACTGCATTCCAGCCTGGGTGACACAGTGAGACCCTGTTAAAAAAAAAAAAAAAGAAAAGAAAGAAAGAAAGAAAGAAAAAAAGATTTTAGTAAAGACCTGTGTCCATGATCGTTGAAATGGTCATCAGAAACAAAACCCATAGTCTGCTTCACAAACATCATTTGGCTTTATATAACTCCAGTTCAGAAGGGAAACAGATTTGGAGGATAAACCTTTGGTGGACTCACCCAGAAAAATGTCAATTAGAGCCAGAATCAAGAGTAAGCTAAAAGAGGCCAGCGCAGTGGCTCACGCCTGTAATCCCAGCACTTTAGGAGGCTAAGGCAGGTGGGTCACCTGAGGTCGGGAGCTCGAGACCAGTCTGACCAACAGGGAGAAACCCCATCTTTTCTAAAAATACAAAATTGGCCGGGCATGGTGGCACATGCCTGTAATCCCAGCTACTCGGGAGGCTGAGGCAGGAGAATCACTTGATCCTGGGAGACAGAGGTTGTGGTGAGCTGAGATGGCGCCATTGCACTCCAGCCTGGGCAACAAGAGCGAAACTCTGTCTCAAAAAAAAAAGAAAAAAAAAGAGCTAAAAGATCCAGGTTTTGTAAAAAGTCACTCTTTTGTACTCAGACTGTAATGACTCTGGACAGATTAGACTGGGTTAAGGATTTTTTAAAATAGTCAAATTATGGATTATTTTATAATGAGGTAATACAGATATGTATGACCTCCTAAATGATTAAAAGAAATTTGTTTTAGAAACACAATGATTTTCTTCCTTGTAAAAGACATTTTGCCTAGAAATTTCTGTCTACTCATCATTATTAATAATTTTAAAAATCAACAATGCATGTTTTTGAGACACAGTCACGTTCTGTCGCCCAGGCTGGAGTGCAGTGGCATGATCTCAGCTCACTGCTCAACAACGCATTTTAATCACAAGTTTGCTTAACATCCATCAAATCCTGATACCTAAAATCAACTTACAATAGCACTTGATTATGTTCTAAAACATGAACCAAGTACTAATCCTAATTTTCAAATCTGCAAATAGGTAGGTACGTTTTATGAATTACTAATAGTCTTTAGTTGTAGTATATATATACACGAAAAATATGTTAAGGTGGTCTTAAATAAAGGCCCTTTCTTTTCAAACCCCTTCAATGTAATTTTACTGGCGTTCCAACAATAAATCAGATCATCTCCAGAGGTCTATTATAATATTTAATTCTACCATTTGTAATATTTATTCAAATAAAGGCAGTGCTTAGCATTTATAATGGCCATTTCCTTTCAGTAAACCAGAAATGGACTTACCCTATGTGAACTTTATTACTATAAAGAAACAACACTTCCAAATATTATGCATACTATATATCTTAGTCTATGTCAAAGAAAAACTACAGAATCATTCATTCCAAGTGATTACCACTAATTGAGGAAGCTATCTTCTCCTAGGCTTCGGGTCATTTAAAAAAGTGTCCCCCAGTTCTTTCAGCTGTTCAGATCTTACTCAGTGGGCCTCCCCAGTGCTTGAAGACTGCTGCTCAAAGCCAGATTTTATAGAAGAATGTGCAGCATGTCAAGTGATTCAGAGTGTAAACAGACTTAGGAAGCGCAGATACGCGAGACTGAGAAGCAACACAATAGACTGACCTTCTCATCAACCTCTTCCCCTCCCCTTTCCTTAACCATGGAAAGTCAGGCAAAGTCAAGGCACCAGAAGAAATAATAAATGAAAAATGACCCCCGCCAACTGTGGATTTTCAGTGCCTGATTACCCGCCCATCTCATCTTATGCATCAAAGAGCAAAGGGTATGGGAGAGCCGGTAGAGTAGCCAGGAAGAAAGGAAAAGAGGGATTATTTACTGGCCCTTTGAGATCTGGTTACCAGCCTGAAAAACAAGAACAGATGTATTTGCATGATTATAAAATAAAATGCCTTTCAAATAACTTAATCTTCAGGAATATTATAGTATATACATTTGTTTTTAATTCCCTAGGGATAGGCAACAGCCCGTGGGATCCTTTGTTTACCCGTGGGTATAAGGATGGAAGATTCTTACATGCACCCGGGAATGCATGCTAGTGAGCAACACGTGTGAGAACCAAGAGGATTACAGTATTATCCTGCTATTGTTTTCTGCACTACATCCACTTCAATCTACAGGACAATGAAAACAGAAATGGGCCCAAGAGATTATAAACAGGCTGTTGCCATTGAAGTCTGTTCTTCTTATGTTGAAGCAGCCCAGGATGCAGGCTTTGTTTCTTCAGGTTCTATCAAAAACCCTCCAAGAATGTGAAAAGAGTTAGTGGAGGTGAAATCACCCAAAAGGCAATTACTGTCTTCTCTCTCAGAGGAGTCAGTTTCAGCCAAGCAGACATAAAAATATAAAGTTTCCATCATAGCTGAAAGGTTCAAAGCCAACAGGCAAAGTACACGGGCTTTGGAAATGTTCGTGGTTAGTGGTAGGTAAGAAAGGATATAAACGCAGCAGCTCAGACTAAATATGAATTTCAGGGAAAAGGGAAGAACAGAGTGCAATGCTCTCCCACACTGTGCTTCCCTAGGATGGACGCAGACTTCATTTTCCATTTGGCACAAAAAGAACCTAGACCCACCCCAGCTGGATCATTCAAAAAGCCCTCAACGTGTTGTGTCCGCAGGGCCCACTTTTGCTCTGAACTAGGCCAGCTGGGCCAGCTGTCAAAAGGCTGAGCTCCGTCGAGTAGCAGGAGGCCATCAGGGTCACATATAAAAGCAAGCTGACTGGCTCATAGGGCGACAATCACATCAGACAAGGTCGGCTCACTTTTTCCATTCCAAGTCAGGGCTGGCCTGTAACGGTGATACGGTCATATTAATAACAACAGGGACATTAAAACCTTTCAGGGAAAGGGCTCAAAATGCTTTCCAAGGAAAAGCCTGCTATTAATTCCCCAAATGACAGATAAGACAACTCAGGCTGAGAGAGGGAGAATGATTAGGCCCAGAGAGCACATATGAGTTGGACAAAACTGAAAGAAAGAACTGAAGCCCACCCTCCCAGGTCACATTCTGGTCCTCAGAGTATTTTTCAACTCCACGGGGGCCTACTTCCTAAAAGACTGACTGCTCTGTTCTCAGGAACTGCAGAGGCTGGGCAAGACTCTCTGTACTCCATGTATTGTTTTAAAGCCTTCATATCCCACTAACTTACCTTCTGATTTAAACAGATAAGGGTCGTCTTTACTGTTTCTGTTGCTTTTTAATTTAATCCATTAAAATCTGCTAGAATTGCAAAATAAAAACCAAAACAAAATGTAGAATTAAGAAAAGCGGGCAGAAATGTTTACTCCTCCCACTAGCACAAGCAGGTGGTGTAATGTATACTCATAAACACACTCATCCCAAAGGTACAGCTTCTCATATTCCCCTGAGTAATTCAAACAATAACTAACTTGTCATTTGCTTGTTATTTCTCATTTAAACTAAAACTAATCTTTCAAAGTTTCCTATCAAACATATCAGAAATACTATGACTTTTCTCCATTTATAGTCTAAGATGATTTTGGAATCACAGAGTTACCTGGGCCTTCTTTCTAAGCAACTGGCACACATTGCTAAGCACTTTCTAATATTAAAGAGGCTATATAAACTTGTGATTAAGAGAAGGGACTTTGAGGCAAAGCTCTACTATATATATATAGATATATATCTACTATATATAGATATATATATCTATATATATCATCAGGCAAGGTTATATATGTTATGTATGTTTTATATATATGTATATATAACACATATATATTTGAGACAGGATCTTGCTCTGTCAGCCAGGCTGGAGTGCAGTGGCATGATCACAGTTCACTGCAGCCTCAACCTCTTGGGCTCAAGCAGTCCTCCCACCTCAGCCTCCCAAGTAGCTGTGCCACCTCACCCAGGTAGCTCTACTCTTTATGAGCTATGTGACCTTGGCAAGATCCTTAACCTCTCTGTCCAGCTTTCTCATCTGGAAAACAGGAAGAAGAATCACATGCTTCCTGTGGCTGTTGAGAGAATGGTATGAGCCAACACATGCAAAACGCTCACATGAATGCTCTATGCATAGCAAAGCCACTGCATGCATGTTAGTCCACAGACGAGCTTCCACTTTATGATAGAAAAATAAAGTTCTATGCCATGACTCCTGCCTGGGGGAACCACACCAAAGTGAACAGATGGAAAACAAAGTATGATTTTGGCATATTGTTTGGCTGAATGACAATAGGTAGTGAAGACAGTTAAGTAGAAAAGTCATTGCAGTAATCAAGGAACACTTCTTGTAGGAAAGGAATGAAATTTTCATCAAAATAGGAATAAATGCTTCCTTGGTTCTCTTTGGGTTATTCACAGTCCCTCTTATATTGTATACTTATTAGAGTATGACAGGAAAATGCTGGATTCAGAAATAATTATGCTTGTCATACAAATTTTTTAAAAAGAGCAAGAGACAATCCAATGGTTATCAACTGTCTGATGAAAGTGTTTCCTAGGTAGCTATTTATTTTAGAATAAGAATGACAGTAACTATTAAAAAATATTTCCTGCTTTTTAATAACTGCACCTTAAGATAACACTGGTGTTCTGTCTCATCAACTGAGGCCCTATTCAACCTGCTGAATCCGACTTCAGTCACTCATTCATCAAATGTGGTTTTTTGACATTTTTTCCCCTACCACCTCCCAAGCACCGAGTACTGAAGTGTTAGGAATTTAGAAATAAATAAGACACATTCCTTGTCCTCAAAGTGTACCTTAAACCAGAATATTTTAATTAATATTTTGATTTTTCTAATAATATATTCTTATATATTTACTTTCCCAAATTGGAAAATTCAAAACGTTACACAAAAGATTAATGAAACAGTGATAAACCTGCCACACAGAGAAAACCACTCTGGTATACATGTCTCTGATCTTTCTCATAGGACAAATAAATAAATGCAAATGCAATATAATCATGATAATACCATTAATTGGCCTTGTTCATGGATATAATAAAACTTTTCTCAAGCCAGTAAAATTTCTTTGAAGGAATCATCTTAAATGTTGTATGCTGTTCTCTCATAGGCATAGTCTATGAAACAATCGCTTCAACATTACCGAAAGATGAAGATGAATCTTTGACTAACTACTAAAGACACTGTAAATTGATGTATATCCCACAGAGATGGTGTGCGGGATAAAGGGAATCACTCCTCGGAGAAGCAGGCCACCTTTATATATTCAATTGCCATGACCTACATAGCATGGGCTGTGTTAAAATAAAGCAACCCTCAAAGTCAGCCAGGAACTCTCACATATCCCATGGCCTCCTTCCCCTATATTCTCCTTCTGCTACCTTTTCCCTGAGAGCTGGAGGGCTTTACTGCTTAGGCAGTTTTCCCATCTTCTAGGACTCATGGCAGAGAGAAGGCCATGTGAGTAGCTAGAAAAAAAAATCCCAATTAAACCTAATGTTCTCTTAATAAACTCACAACTGTCTTTAATATAAACTAGTTAAAGATGTAAGTAATACTCAAACAATGGTGATTTTGCTGGTTATGTATGCCACGCTTACTTGTATAACTCAGAGCGTGTCCATTTGTTTGTTTTTAGAGTCACTTCCTTCCAAGGATGTGGAATTAAGTGGTTATACAGAATCAGCTGTCAAACTTGGCACTGCAGTCATGTTTCCATGCTTAAGAAGGCAGATACCTTTCTAAAAGAGTAGGACTATGAGAAACCTTCTTTATAACTAACAAAAGTAACATGGGTTTATATGCAATAATGTTTCGAACCAGCATAGTTTTATGCACCTGTCATTAAAAAGCAAATGGTTGTGCTCTCCCCATATGGCATTTTCATTTCTAGAACATAGTCATGTGGTCATCTCAATTTCTTCACAGGTAAACAAAAGAAATCATTGGAACAAACTATGTATTTTCTCATATTTATGGGGAAAAGCGGAAGTTTTTTCCCCTGAAACGTCCAGTGTTCAACACTAGGTATATCACATTTCATGGAATATAAAGTCTCTTGAAAAGTTACTAATATCCAAACATCTGTTTTACAATTTTTTTTTTTTTTTGAGATGGAGTCTCACCATGTTGCTCAGGCTGGAGTGCAGTGGTGCAATCTTGGCTCACTGCAACCTCCGCCTCCCAGGTTCAAGCGACTCTCCTGTCTCAACCTCCCAAGTAGCTGGGACTACAGATGCCCACCACCACACCTGGCTAATTTTTGTATTTTTAGTAGAGACGGGGTTTCACCATATTGGCCAGACTGGCCTCAAACTTCTGACCTTGTAATCTGCCCTCTTGGGCCTCCCAAAGTGCTGGAAGCCACTGCATCCCGGTGTTTTACAATTTTCCCATTGGCTTCCATTAGACATACAAATACGTATAACTGAAGAAAATTATGAAGAAATCACAAAGCTACAAAGAAGAATTTAGGCCAGGCATGGTGGCTTACGCCTGTAATCCCAGCACTTTGGGAGGCCAAGGTGGGAAGATCACTTGAGCCCAGGAGTTTGAGACCCACCTGAGCAACATGGCAAGACCCCATCTCTACAAAAAATACAAAAATTAGCTAGGCGTGGTGGTGTGTGCTACTAGTAGCTGGGACTACAAGCACATGCCACCACGCCCACCTAACTGGGAGGTGGGAGAATCGCTTAAGCCTGGGAAGTGGAGGTTGTAGTGAGTTGAGATCACACAACCACACTCCAGCCCAGGCAACAGAGCAAGATCCTGTCCCAAAGAAAAAAACCCAAAAAACAAAAAACAAACAAAAAAAATTAGAACTTAGCCTTGTATCAGTTTTCTATTGCCACAACAATGCTGCATAACAAATCACCCCAAAACTCAATGGTTTAAAACAATAAGCACTTTGCTGACAAGCCTCCAGGTCAGCGATTTTGGTGGGCTCAGACAGGGTTGGCCAGACAGTTCTGGTCTTAGCTGGGTTCACTAGCATGTCTGTAGTTCACCCCTCTGCTGGTAATGAGGATGGCATCAGTCAGGACAACTGAGATGATCTGACTTTCCCCCACGTGGCTTGCCTTCCAGCAGGCTAGCCTGGGCATGTTCTCCTGACAATTTCAGAGGAGCAAGAGGCCAGCAGAAATACACAGGGTGTTTTCCAGCTCTGCTTGTGCTGTGTCTGCTAAGTAAGTCTCATTAGCCAAAGCAAGTTGCAAGCCCAGCTCAGATTCAAGGATAGGGAAATAGCCTCCACCCTTGTAGTGAGAACTGCCAAGTCACATAGCCCAAAGCATGGCCACAGGGAGGGGTGAAGAATTGGAGTCATTAATACAACTAATCTACCCCAATCTTATATTCTTAAATGACAATAAAAATAATGACAATCAAAAATAACCAAGGTATATCAGATTTTTGAGAGGAAATTGGGTTCAATATTCTAAAGCACTTGTGGGAGGAAAAAGATTTCTTTCCTCACCTATTTGTAGGCTCACAGCTGAGGCAGCTATAACAAAAGACAGGTTAGCAAGAGAAGAACATACAAATTTATTTAATATAAGTTTTATGTGACACAGGGGCCTTCAAAAGGAAAGTAGCCCTCACCCTGCCAGCCAAAAAAAAAAAAAAAGCAGGAAAATCTATGTATTTTTATGCTAGGTTTGATAAAGTGGACAGTCATGGAAAAGCATGACTGGACAAATATGGGGGTCTATTGGTAATAACTGGGGGTACCTAGCAAGGCCTGTTTGAAGAAGACAGACACGGATTCTGCCTTCAATCACAGAAGACAGAATCTATGAATGTCTTCCTCAAAGAAGACACAGATTCTTCTCTGTGTCCCTGAATCTTCAGAGATACGTGTGTTCCTTTCCTCCAGGTATAGGGAGGGCACCTCTGCAATGAGGGCCTTGTGACCTGCTTCAGGGGAGAAGGCCAAGGGGAAGACAATGGAGACCTTCCTGCTTCTGCTTTTTTTCAAGTTCCAAGTTGCTGTATTTTGGAGTAGTATGTCCTGAACCCCATCAGTAACACAGAAAAGAAAAAGTGGACAGTAAATTAATAGAACAAAGCAGATATTGAAAAATCAAGAAGTTTTCTTTTCCCCAAAACATTTCCTCTATAGCCTACAGTAGGATGGCATATTTCCTGATTTCTGAGTCCCTTTTTTCTTAATAGCTAAGGGAAGAGGTTTGTATTTAGTACAATTGATCTGAAGAAAGTGGAAAAGAAAATAAATAAAACACAACTAGTGATTTCAGCTCACTTTATTGTTCTTAAAACAGGCCACAGGCCAGGTGGAATGGCTCATGCCTGTAATTCTAGCAATTTGGGAGGCTGAGGCAGAAGGATCACATGAGGACAGGAGTTCACAACAGCCTGGGTAATCTAGCAAAACCTTGTCTCTAAAAAAATACAAAGATGAAGCCAGTTGCAGTGGCTCACACCCGTAATCCCAGCACTTTAGGAGGCTAAGGCAGGGGGATCACTTGAGCTCAGAAGTTTGAGACCAGCCTGACCAACATGGTGAAACCCCGTCTCTACTAAAAATCAAAAAATTAGCTGGGCTTACTGGCGGGCGCTCCCAGCTACTCGGGAGGCTGATACAGGAGAATCACTTGAACCTGGAAGGTGGAGATTGCAGTGAACCGAGATCACGCCACTGCACTCCAGCCTGGGCAACAAAGCTAGACTCCGTCTCAAAAAAAAAAAAAAAAGAAAGAAAGAAGAAGAAGAAGAAAAAGAAGCCATAAAGGTATGTTTTACCTCTGGGCAAAAACTTTCCCAAGACCACTCAGCCAGTCTGCTGAAGGTAAGATTCAAATGTGGGATTAACTTGCACACTGATGTTGCTCCACACTACATCAGAAACAAGTAAGATAGTTACTGACTTACAATGACTTTAGGGTGGGCTTATCAGGACATAACCCCATGGTAAATTGAGGAGCATCTGTATTTAAAATCAAATAAATGCTGTTCCTTCTGTCTAAAATAGTTTTCCCTCCTCATCTAGTTAATGCTTACCTTCCTTGAATATCTTCAGTTCCAGATTCACTTATTTGGAGATACCATCTTGATCTTCCTGACAGTATACTCTCCTTGTATATTTCTCTCTGTATCATGTACTTCTTCCCATAGCAGTCACAGTTTTATATTTGTTCATGGAATATTTGACTGCTGACTGCTCTCACTAGACTGTCTACCCCATGAGGGTAGAGACTCTTTCTGGTTCTGTTTCATCTTTCTTTGGATGCAGTATAGTTGCTGACATATAATAGCTCTGACATATGTCAAATGAATAAAGGACTAGATAAAAAGCAATAAATGGGAGGGAATGATGATTGGCAATATGTGAGAGTATTATGGATAATAGAGCATGTACAAGGCTCATGAGACCAAGAAAGTTCTTCATAGTGAAGTTTTAGGTAATCAATGTTTAAATGAAGGAACTAAACTGAAATACATGTTTTAATGTTTTTAAGTTCAGTGTTTAATACGTGAATGTTTTGAAACACAGAAACAACCACGTTTCATGTTTTTAATAGTAAGAAGCAGAGAAAATCAATGTCAGAGATTTATCAAACAAATGTGGTTCCTCCCACAGGATAAGCCTCTTTTCTCTAGCATTTTCAATTACAGAAGAGGATGGAAGGAAAGGTGTACATTACATGCCTGATTTGGAGTCAGCTGATGCAAAGTCAAATGCCTCACTGAGGCTCTGTGCAAGTATTTGACATTTTCTGAAGAAAATTTAGAATTGCATGCATCCACTCCTCACCACCTACTTGCTAGTGTTATGATACCTTCTGCATAGCACAGGACTCACTTTCTGCCACCTTGTCTGCCAGGACATATTTTATTCTGGTTGCAAACTGAAAAAAGGCTTCTTTTACTTATCCTGAAAGAATGCATGTAAGATTTGGGTTTTCTGGTTAAATTTATAATGGAATCGGAAATTGCTTCAGGAAGGAAACTTTAGCACCCGCCTGTCATCACTACACAGAATAATATGGTTCCATAACATCACAGCCCCAGATGAATGCCTTATACGCAGGGCTGTGTACATCTCACACACTGACTGTATTCAACCCAGTGGAGTTATTCAGTCATCACTCCCCGGCCACCGCTTAAAATTCTCAGAATATCTGAGTTTATGACACTGGATTAGATGCTATAATTCTCAAGACAAAACAGTCAAACAGGAAAGGAAAGGCCTCTTCATGATGGACGCAGAAACATCACGATAAAATTTTAAGACCAGACTTCAGAAGCAGAGTCCACAGAGAAACAAAAGTGAGCTGAGGCATAAAGATGGCTGCGTCCTTGACTTCAATTCATTTAGGCTGCAATGTTGACACACTAACTATCTTATTCACTCACTGGACTCACTGCTTTTTGTTTAGAATAAGTTTGCATATGGCTATGTATAATTCAATAAGGAAAAAAATGTCAAAATGGACTTTCTTTAATGGGTTTTTAGAATTATCCAATAAATATGTAATGATGAAGAAAGCACAGTGCTTAATATTTGGGAAAGTACTGACATAATAATTCAATGAGAGCATGGAAAATGAATGAAGAAAAGAAAAAAATGAAGGGAAAACCTAAAGGAAGGGAGAGAAGGAGGAAATCAGGGAAGGAGCAAGGGAAGGAGATGGGAAAAAAAAACAGAAAAAGAAAGGTATATATAATGTTTATGCAACTTCCACAATGAACACTCGTATCTCAGCAAAAATCTTACTGGTATTACTTTCTACTGGCAAATTCCATTGGAATCTATCCTATTTTCAAAATATTGTCTTTCATTTAATTTTCTATAAAATACTATAGTATTTTGATAAAATGTTTTCACTGCTCTCCCCTGCTTTATTAAACAACTCTGAATCACACAGATTTGTAATAGGCCCTGAAGGTAGAAATTACTGATACTTGGTTTATTAAATCAAAAAACAGCCTGTAATCCCAGCATTGGAGGCCAAGGAGGGATCACTTGAGCTCAGGAGTTTGAGACCAGCCTGACCAACATAGTGAAACCCTGTCTCTACTAAAAATACAAAATTAGCTGGGTATGGTGGCACATGCCTGTAATCCCAGTTGCTTGGGAGGCTGAGGCAGGAGAATCGCTTGAATCCAGGAGGTGGAGGTTGCAATGAGCCAAGATGGCACCACTGCACTCCAGCCTGGACATCAAGAGTGAAACTCCATCTCAAAACAAACAAACAAACAAAATAGATGTCTATTTATGTAAATAAACAGTTGTGTTAAAGGCTAACAAGGTGAAACAAATATGATAGTAGCAGACAAAATAAATTATCATGTCCCTTGGGAAGAAGAATTGGGAGAAAATAGCTGTGAGTTTTTCACAGAAGGGATGAGGCTTCATGCAGATTCCTAAAGTCAGTAGAGAGTCACCAGACAGATCACAGAAGAGGGCATTAGGAGAAAGCCTTGGAGGCAAAGGGAATAAATACAACAGCATGACAGCCTGAAGGAGCAAGTGCACCCAGGGACCTATGGTGGAAGTGTAGCTGGAAGGCAGCTGAAAATGGACAGTAAGTCGGCCGAGTAGAGAAAGGTCAATTCATAGAAGACCTAAGATGGCATGCATAGATGATATTGATTTATTGTATAATCAGTAAATTTGAAGCATGGGGGTAAAATTATATGGTTTTCTTTAAAAGATACAAACATACCACAACAATATGGAAAATAGTCTTGAATGGAGAAAAGATCAATGAGAAAACACTTAAAATAGTCCACAAAAGAGAGATGACAAAGACCTGAAATACAGCAGCAGTGCTGGTATTGGAAAAGGGGTGATAGATTGAGAGATTACAAATGAGGAACATCTATAATAGCTAGATGGATATAAGAGATTAGGCATTGGCAAAAATGTAGAAGTTTCTAGTTATATACAGGTTTTTGGTATGTACGTAAAAAAGAACAAGAGTAAGTCTAAAGAGAAAGATCATAATTATGGCTTAAATGCATGGATTTTTCTGTGGGATATTCTGCTAGCAATTAATAGGAAGGAGCCAAAAATATTTAAGAGTGCAAAGAGGTAAGGAAACAAGCCTGAAATGGAGATATTGATTTGCAGTCATCGGCATTCAGGTAGCAGTGGATGCAGGCAGCATTGACAAGATTGCCATGGGAATGCATGGAATTGAAAAGAGAATGAATGGTTAACTGTAAATCTATAGAGACACAGTCACACAGCATAAAATGATGTTTTGGTTAACCATAAACAGCATATACAATGATGCTCCCACAAGATTTTAATGAAGCTGGAAAATTCCTATTGCCTAGTGATGTCATAGTCCTTGTAATGCAGTAGTATAACGCATTACTCATGTGTTTTTAGTGAGGCTGGCTAAACAAACCTACTGTGTTACCAGTCTTATAAAAGTCTAGCACATACAATTATGTACAGTAAATAATACTTGATAATGATAATAAATGGCCATGCTGCTTGTTTATGTATGTACTACTCTACTTAGTGTTATTTTAGAATGTATTCTTTCTATATAGATAGATAGATATTAAAAAATATATTTTTATAAATATATAGACTGGGTGCGGTGGCTCACTCCTGTAATCCCAGCACTTTGGGAGGCTGAGGCAGGCAGATCACAAGGTCAGGAGTTCAAGACCAGCCTGGCCAAAATAGTGAAACCCCATCTCTACTAAAAATTAAAAAATTAGCTGGGCATGGTGGTGGGTGCCTGTAATTCCAGATACTTGGGAGGCTAAGGCAGGAAAATTGCTTGAACCCAGGAGGCAGAGGTTGCAATGAGCCAAGATCACGCCACTGTACTTCAGCCTGGGTGACGGAGCAAGACTCTGTCTCAAAAAAAAAAAAAAAAAAAAAAAAAATGTCCAGTGTGGTGGCTCACGCCTGTAATCCCAGTACTTTGGGAGGCCAAGGTGGGTGGATCATGAGGTCAGGAGATCGAGACCATCCTGGCTAACACGGTAAAACCCCATCTCTACTAAAAAAAATACAAAAAAATTAGCCGGGCATGTTGGCGGGCACCTGTAATTCCAGCTACTTGGGAGAATGAGGCAGGAGAATGGCATGAACCTGAGAGGTGGAGCTTGCAGTGAGCCAAGATTGCACCACTGCACTCCAGCCTGGGCGACAGAGCGAGACTCCATCTCAAAAAAAAAATATATATATATATAAAATATTTATTTATATATAAATATTTTATAAAATATATATGTATTTTTTAAGTTAACTGTAAAATAGCCTCAGGCAGGTCCTCCAGGAGGTAGGGATTCCAGAAGAAGGCATTGTTATCACAGGAGATGACAGCTCCACGCATGTTATTGCCCCTGAAGACCTCCCAGTGGGACAAGATGTGAAGGTCAAAGACAGTGATATTGATGATCCTGACCCTCTGTAGGCCTAGGTTCATGTGTGTGTGTCTTCATTTTTAACCAAAAAGTTAAAAAATAAAAATAAAAAAATTAATAGAAAAAAGCTTATAGAATAAGTATATAAATAAAGGAAATATATTTGTATAGATGAGAGCTAGAATAGTTTCTTATTCACCTTTCTATACCCAACAGCATCTACCACAGAACATAAAACATAGAAAAAATCATATATTTGACAATGAAAATTGTTGAAAGATTTAATTAATAGAATCTGAGGTTTTAGTGAATTTGTAGTTTCATTCTGATAGTAATGTGTTTTTGAATTACACAAAATCTTAATATGTAAATGACTCTGTGTGTGTGTGTATATGTGTGTGTGTGTACGAGAGACAGAGAGAGAGAGAATGAAAGCAGAGCATGTGCAGGTTTGAAAACACTAATTCATACATTCTGTATGAATCACATTATATCATATCTAGCAGGAAAAAGTACTTCTGACAGCCTGACAGGTCTGGGCAAGTTGAATTTGCTTAGCCTCCTCTTTCCTAATAACTTGCTTCAGCTGATCTATATTTTTCCCATTCTACGTCTAACTCCATCCTTTATCAGTTTTAGCTCCATTTCTAATCTCCAATTTACTACTTTGGTAGAATGTAAAAGATTCTAAACTTGTTATCTATGCACATTTTTATTCACCCAAAATAATTTTTTAAATTATCTTATCGTTAATGTCATGTGAAAATAAAAATTTTAAAAACCATTACTCACCAATCTTGCTAAGATGAGCAGAGATGAGTTTCAGTGTGATTAGATGGGGTCAAGATATGGTTTATTTGAGTCTATATCCCTCAACCTGTGACAAGTTTGGACGTACTGATATTACCAAGGATTTAGGTCAGTTTATTTTTTTATTTATTTTTATTTTTTTTTTTAGACGGAGTCTTGCTCTGTCGCCCAGGCTGGAGTGCAGTGGCGCATCTCGGCTCACTGCAAGCTCCGCCTCCCGGGTTCACGCCATTCTCCTGCCTGAGTAGCTGGGACTACAGGCGCCCGCCACCACACCCGGCTAATTTTTTCTATTTTTAGTAGAGACGGGGTTTCACTGTGTTAGCCAGGATGGTCTCGATCTCCTGGAATTTAGGTCAGTTTAATATCAGAAAAGTTAAATCACAGAGTGGCCAGTTCTAGGGCTCACTGCTGCTCCATAAAAAGACACAAGAGTTAATTACAAAGCATATTATTTCCGTCTTCCCATCTAAATGAAGTCCATCATAGGCAAGGTTTGAAAATACACTGTCTCCCAGAGTCATTGTGGAGAGCAAAAGAGAGGAAGCATGGTAAAGTGCTTATAAATGGTAAGGCACTATAAAATGTCAGTCAAGATATGCTCTCCAATCACGACTCAGAACAAGAGCATGGGCAAAGTCTCATGAGCTAAACCTGCAACTAGGTGAGGCAAGTTAAGACAAACAGAGTAGTAAATACTATAGGGACCAAAGAGGTACAATAACCAACATGTGGCAACTTAAGCAAGCAATTGGTAATAAGAAACTGAATAACTCAGCCAGGCGTGACGGCTCACGCCTATAATCCCAGCACTTTGGGAGGCCAACATGGATGGATCACTTGAGGTCAGGAGTTTGAGACCCAGCCTGGCCAACATGGTGAAACCCGTCTCTACTAAAAATATAAAGAAATTAGCCAGGTGTGGTGGTGCATGCCTGTAATCCCAGCTACCCGGGAGGCTGAGGCAGGAGAATTGCTTGAAGCTGGGAGGCGGAAGTTCCAGTGAGCCGAGATCGCGCCATTGCACTCCAGCCTGGCAACAGAGCGAGACTCCATCTCAAAAAAAAAAAAAAAAAAAAAAAAAACTGAATAACTATTTGGGTGATGGGTACACTAGAGGCCCAATCCCCACCATTATGCAATAAACCCATGTAACAAACCTGGATGTGTACCCTCTGAATCTAAAATAAAGTAAAATAAAATAATAAAAATAAATTTAGTTTATGGCACAGCATCAGATTAAAGTTTGTAGAAGTTCAAAGAAAAAAATGAGTAAGTAAGAAAAGTAGTTCCTAACAGGCATGGCACTATGGAAACTTACAAACATCCTAGTCAGAGTGAGAGTTTGATGCCCCTGAAAGCAACATATTTAAATCTTTGTAAATATTTAAATATTTATTTAGGGGACCGGGGAAAACTTATTGTCTGTTAACAAAAATATTTAATCTTCAAAATAAGAAAATCACGACATGCACCTAACGTAAAATAACATTTTATTAGGAATAAGCCTAAAACAACAATTTCGTACAATAGACGAATATTTGAAGGGTCAATAAAATGGCTTAAAACATACTCAAAGAAATTAGTTATTAATGACAAATTGCAGTAAGTCAAGCATTATTTGGTTTCAGAATTTCGCTTGATATCAAGTGCCAGTTAAGAGGCTGTTACTCAGGGCAGGGGAATTAACCACTTGTCACTCTTACTTGTGCATTGAAATTTTATTTGGCTAGGTCTGAATAGATGAAAAGCTTTCAAAAATTTTCATTAAAGTTTGGTAATCTATTTCGATGGGGGTTCTCATTACATTTCAATTGTTATATAAGAAATCACATGTAAAAATTAAAGTTTACCTTCTTCATATTTATAATTAATTCAGTGATGCTTAGCTCCCAGTAGAGATCATTGCCTCATCCTGTTGCCTATCTGGCCCGTGCTTATTCCAACTCAGCCGTCAAATGGGCAGATTACAAAGAGGGAAAATTGAGATCTCAAAGTAACAGTTCCGAGCAGTTCACATGAATAGTCTTAGGTATTGAAGAAAGCCGTTACTAGGTGTGTCAGTCACACCCTGAGATGACACCCAATGAGTCATGCCCTTGTATAGCCCTCTCCCCTTGAATCCAGACAGAACCTGTGCCTTGCTTCTAACTGACACAATATGGCAAAGGTGATGGGATGGCATTCCCGTGATTAGGTTACAGTACATAGGACTCTGTCTAAATAGGTCGAAGCAAAATATTCTTCCTTGCTGGCTTTGAAGATGTGAGCTGCCATGTTGAGAGGGGGCCTATGCAGAAGGTTGCATGACAAAAAGCTAGAGATCCCTCTAGGAACTGAGAGTTGCTCCAGCCAACAGCCAGTAAGAAAACTGTGACCTCATTCCTGCAGTACAAGCAGATGAATTCTGCCAATAATTTTAGAGAGCTTGGAAGCAGGTCTTTCCCTGTTGAGTCTCTGAGGAGAACACAGTGCAGGTCAATACCTAGATTAAAGCCTAGGAAGACTCTGAGGCTGAGAACCTAACGAAGCTGTGCCTAGACTTCCAACCTACAGGCACTGTCCCCTAAGAAATGTGTATTGTTTTAAGCTGATAAGATTCTAATAATTTGTCACACAGCATAGGGAATGAATGCACCAGACAGCAAGGTTCAGCTTCTTGTCAGCACTTTGTTCATTGTTAATAGGGTAGAACTTTCCAAGGTAGGAAGGTTCAAGGTCCAGACGAGAGGAATTACATAGTTTGCAGGACAGAAAGACCATTTAGGCAAATGCATGTTGTGTGGTTTTGGGGGGTGCCTGTTTCTGAGGGGCAGGTAGACACCCAGTGGTAAGAACTCGGCACCAGATCAGAGCCATAGAAGCAGCCAGACTTGAGGTATTAGAGATTGGGGTGGGCTGAGTCTGCAAATGGAGTGTCAAGTCATGGGAGTAAATTACGGTGGTACAGACTGATAATTGGGCAGGGTATTTCTACACTTTTTTGAGGTGGACCAAGAAGAGTCTCCAGTCCAAAATAACTTTGAGTGCCTGGAATTTTACCAGCAGGTATACATTCCTTTCGTAAAGCCTGACTCCTGATATTAATTATAACACCATGGAATAAATTAATTATTGGATTAGATTTCTCAGTGAGAGTCCTGATTAGCTGGAGATGAAGGACCACCTCATAAAATTTGGATCAGGACCCACAAAAAGTAAATAGAGACAACAAACACAAACTTGGATTATTTTATAAATGTAATAATGACATTCTTTTCACTAAAAATATATTTTGTATTAAAAAATATATACCTAAAGTATATATGCTTATAAAATATAAAATTTTTATATAAAAATATAAATATTTTATAAAATATATTTCTAAACATGTTTTATAAAAATATAAATATATAATATAGAAAATATATTAAAATTAATGTTTTTATATATAAAAATATACATTTTATATATATGTTTAGAGTTAGGATTAGATTGATTACAACTTAAGCTCTTGTCTTAACTAACTTTCTGATTTAGGCAAATTACTGAATGTCTCTAAGCTTCAGTCTACTCAATTTAAAATAAGAGTAGTAACAACTATTATACTTCTCCTGATTGTTATGGGATGAAAAGAAGTGGCAAAAAGAGACATTGAAAAAAGTAGTGTCTTCCGCAGTACAAAGCAAAAGCTGAAGTCATATAAAAGATAAACAGCATAGAGGGTTTAAGAATTTGTGTTGCATAGTCAGTCTGAGAACTTCAATCTTGGCTCACTGGTTTATTAGCTCTGTGACCTTTTGCCAGTGACGTAACCTTCTGAGTATCCATTTACTCTTCTAAAAAGGCATGAAAATAATACCACCTTCCTGTATTGTCCAGATCTTAAATGAGACAATGTATGTAAGGTACTCTCATTCTCATTTTTACTTAAATAGGAGATTGCTATATTGCCTGATTGGACTGCTTAGCTTTGGAGCTAGCTAGCATTTTGCAGTTGGGTAAGACAACTCCCCATGTTCCCTTTCAAACCTATATCATTGCTCTTTGTATTACTTCTAATTAGAACAATGAATAAGTTATGCTATCATTATTTATACCACTTTGTTTTTAGAACTAGAACCTCCAGGGCAAAGTTCTTTGATAGATGTTTGTTGGATTGAATTGAACTCAAATTTGCTGATAGATGTAGGATTTCTGAAGCACAGATCATAGGGGTCTTCTCTGTGATGCCGCTTGGCTGCAACAATGTCTTCACGACCTCATGTGTCTGCAGATACACATTTAAGTGATGAGAGGATACCTTTAGGCTAAAGTAAGGGAGGTTGACTTACTCTGATAATGTTAGTTTTGGTATCATCCGAGAGCACATCAGCAACAAATACGGTGGACACCACTGCATGCTAGGAAATATGCCACAGGCCTTCCCAGCCCCCAGTTAAGTTCTTCTCTAACACTGCACACAAAGCACATTAGCAGGACGAGATATTTATACCCTAAGTTAGATGTCTGTGCCATAAAAGTGATGTATGTAAGATCAATGCAACTGTAATTTAGCAATATAGGATGGGTTCAAAAACTTTTCATGGATGTAAACGTGTAATAGGCCAAGATGGTTACCTCAGGAAAGGACACATAAATTTTTTTGGAAGGTCCTGAAACACTTGTGGAAAACAAGCTAATTGACTAGCTGAAGTCACAGACTCATGGCTGAAAGGTTATTTAAAAGTGATACTTCTCTCTCCCAGCCTACACTGAATAGCTTAACTAAAACATCCCACATATACTGAGAATAATGAGTGTACCTGGAAGAATATTCTACAAAGTCCTTTAGCAACATGTTCTCATATCTCTTAAAGATCTACATATAGGCATTACCTGGTAGATAGTTTTACATGTTATATTGTTTTAGAGATCCAAAAATGCCCAGTCACTAAGCCCGTTGCCCAGAGTAATAATTAACACATTGATGATCATTTACTAGGTGCCAGATACTACTCTAATCCCTTTACAGAGAACACCTTATTAAATCCTCACATAATTATCCTATGGGCTACAAATGATTATTATCTTCACTTTACATTTGAGGAAAACAGGACACAAAGATATTAAATAACTTGTCCCAGGCCACACAGTTAATTAGCAGCAAAGCCAGTATCAAAATTGGGTTGATGGCTCCAGATTCCTCACTTAACCATTAGACCGTACTTCACCTTCAACACAGAAATATCACTGAACTGGGAGTCAAAACCACTTGGCTATATGAAAGCTGTATAACTTTACTACTTCTTCATTTGTACTTCAGTGATAACAATACCCATATCATTTGGTTGAGAAGATTACATGGACGTATACAAAAGCCTCATTGCACATAATAATATACAAGCATGATAAGAGGTGCTAGCTCATAATAGGTATTCAACAAATGTTATTTGTATCCAATCTGATTCCTTCAGATGTTTTATGGGAGTTCTTATTAACCCACAAATAAATTATTTGGATCTGCAATGCTTTTAGCTATAATCTCATCAATACCTGAGAACGATTTTGTTTAACCTATTAACTCTAGCCAAGGATAAAGTTTTGAGAGGAACCGAAGGCCTGTTTGGGTGAACCTTGTGAACAAAGTCAATTTGAGGGCACTGGGCACTGCTGAATAGGACAGGCCTAGGCTGGTGACAATGGGGCTATTTGGACAGCCAGAAGTCCCTGTGAGCTGAAGGGTGGAAGAGAGGAGATAAGAGGTGCCAGAAAGGGCATGCAAAGGCCTGAAACCATTTTGCCTAGGGCAGAAGCATCTTTAATTTCTGCAATTTATACCATGGCCCAGTGGCACATTTGAGTTGAAAGTACACAGCTAGGATCATGCCAACAGTGGGAATGCTACAAAATGCTACATGGATGACTACAAAAGATTTCTCTTGTTTTCTCCTGAAGACACTAGTCATTATTGTGTATTTAAACTGTTTTAGTGTTTTTTCCAATTTTCCGTATGGGCCTATCAAGAAAATGTCAGAAAGCGGATGCTCAAGCATTAGCACTTCCATCAGAGCTCTGCGTGGGCTCACGGGATCCGCAGCTCAGCCTGAGGATAAAACACTGTATCATCTCTTGGCACAGTGCATGCAGGGAGGCATTGATGGGGAGGTAGACAGAGAGGACTCTGTAGGCACACAGAGCTCAGATTCAGCCCACTATCTCTCATGGTTAGGCATTTCCACACTGTGATAATGAAAAGTGTACTTAAGGGACCTCAGCTCATGGATTTTTCTGTAAGACTCAACTGGAGAGTGACAAGCCACAGGGCATGACCTTAGCCATCACACATTGAACTTCATAGAGAACCAGTACGTCTTTATCACTATTTCATATCAGGGAAGCAAAGGCTTTCTTAGACATCCCCTGGTATTTTCATCCAGGACCAGACTGTCCTACATGACCTCAAAGCCCCAGCCGCAAGGAAGGCTCAATATTGAGTATTGTGCTTTAGTTCTAGCCATGGGGAAAACAAGTAAGAGAGATGGAGTCAGAAATAAATGGAATTTTGCGAGCTAACACACACAGTCTGCACAGGTGGGTACAATTATCACCTCCATGATGTAGCTAAGGAAACTGTGGCCCAGAAAGGTTAAACAACTTACTCAGGATCTCACAACTAACCAGTGGGGAGGCTACGATTTGAACTCACACACCTTCTCTCAGGGTCTTCGCACTTAGCACTATACTCTTCTGCTTTTCCAAATTAGGTCTTCTAGTTATTCTCTCTGAGAGCACCGAGCAACCCTCCCTGATGGCCATAATCGTCATTTACAATTATGTATTTATGTTATATGATCATTGCTTTAATGCCTGCCTGCCCAATTACATAGTAATCTCTGTGAGAGCTGAAACATCTTTGTTTCATTTACCACTACATATACAGCAATGTACATGTTTTCTCACACATAGTCAATTAATACCAAAGGAATGAATGAAGGAATTCAAGATAACCGGTGATTTGATGCTAACCTTGTGCTAAACTAGGACTTGAGTAGCTGACAGCAGGAAAGTATCCATGAACTGAATAGCAGGCAGGGAAGACTCTGAGAAAAGATACGCTTAGGCTAGACCTAAAGGGAGGGCTTTGGCTTTGAGCAGCTGGAAGTGAGAGGAGGAAGTCCAAAGTAAGAAGAGACAAGTGTCTTTGTAAAATAGAAAACTGACCAGCTTGATGAAAATAGAAGATACATGTTCAGAAATACATCCCAATTAGGGTATTAAACAATTTAGGAAAAGCCATGAAAGAAGGGCAGAGAAAATTAGGTTTCAATATCAATAAAGAGATGGAGAGTTTTGTGAATAAGCAAAAAGCTAAAAAGGATTACTCTGGTAGTTATACATAGATTTCACTGGCTGCCTTAAGGAGGCTATTTCAGTAGCTTAAGCATCAGGAAACAGTGGAGAAGACCAGACTAGACCACAGCAATGGGAATGGAGAGTGAAGACAAAAAAGAGACCATGCCAAGGCAGCCACCACTAGAACTTGAGGATGTGAGGAATGGCAGAGAGAGCTAGAGAGAGATGGATTTAAAGCAACTCCAAGTTTTTGAGTTGGTTGACTAGGAGAATTGACTAACAAATTAGAAATTCAGGAAAAGAGATGCTTGAGAAAGAAACATTGTGAAGCCAAATATGGAGTTCAAGGAAACCAAAGGATATACAAGTAAAAATATTCATGGATGACTACAGATCATGAAAAAGGCAAAAACTGGATATACAGACTAGGAAGTGAGCATATAAAATGTATCAGGAAAGAAATAGACTCATAGTCCTGGAACATGTGATTATTTCTGAGTTGGGGCAGTAAAAAGATTATGTGATTCTCCAATTTCTTTTCCCCTGACTCAGTGGCAGCAATGTTACTCTGGGTCTCTGAATGATCGTGAAACAGAGCTTTCCTTCATCCCTCAAGTTGACTCTATTGGGCATGTGATGTGAGCAAGAATAAAACCTTGTGATAAGCCACCGACATTTCAGATTTTTTTTTTTTTTTTTTTTTTTTTTTTGAGATGCAGTCTCACTCTGTCACCTAGGCTAGAGTGCAGTGGCATGATCTCGGCTCACTGCAACCTCCACCTCCTGAGTTCAAGCGATTCTCCTGCCTCAGGCTCCCGAGTAGCTGGGATTACAGGTGTGTGCCACCACACCCAGCTAATTTTTGTATTTTTAGTAGAGACGGGGTTTCACCATCTTGGCCAGGCTGGTCTCTAACTCCTGACCTCATGATCCGCCCGCCTCGGCCTCCCAAAGTGCTGAGATCACAGGTGTGAGCTACCGCACCCGGCCTAGATTTAATTTTTAACTGAAGCACATCCTAGCTTATCTTAACATAAGCAGAAATCCAGTTCCTAGAGTAAGGCATTAGATCTCAAGGAAAAGTTGAAATTTGAGGCATGAAGAACATAAGGGAGTGAAAAGAAATGTGCAAATTTTGTGAGTGGGGAGAATGGAGTTGCTGTTATGTTAAAGTTAGAATAATATTCCTCTTCGAGGATAAAAAAGAGCTCAAAACTTTGATTCACATTTGGCACATCAGCAAACATGATAAGGCATCTTTTAAAGGAAGGAATAACAAAGAAAACTCAATTATTGATTACTCATGCTAAATATCCGTAAACAAAAATGTGAGATAATCCACATGTAAGTAAAACGAAAATATGCACAAATTGTTTAAAAAGTAACATTGATAAGTAAAATGAATGCTTCCTTTGGTAGCTGCATCTTCATGATTTTTCCCCCTGCAATTAGTCTTTCTCTGTTCTATTCTCAGCACATCCTGTTTGCTTTGTGTCTTATCAGTGATCAGTAAATATTTGTTGAGTGAATGAATGAGTAAATGCATATATGGGAGAATGAAGAATAGATGAAAATGACTGAAATAATCAAATGAGTTAAAACCAATTCAAAGGATTATATATTTCATATATCCAGTGAGCAAAAAATCTAGAATATCTGTTTTCCGGTTTAAGTTTGGCAAGAAAAGTATGTAACGGACAAAGAAAACAACTAAGGTTATTTTTTTGAGTTAGGATATAAGGTGATTTTTGCTATTTATGCCAATCCCCTAACAGCTTAAATGACCCATCTAATTGTGACGTTAAGAAAAAAATTCTATTTAACTTGCATCAATACTACAAGGAAAAAGAGTAAGAGAAAGGAAGGTTAATCAGTATATGGATATTTATATTCTCAATATATCAAATTATTTTTAATATTTAGTACATATTTTATAAGAGTAAAATAAAAATATTTTAGGAGATTTATGTGTATTGTCACAAAGCATCAAAATAAAGTAGGAGGAGAAAAATCAATCATCTAAATATCAGGAAGAATTTGCTGGCATTGGGAGATGTCAGATTGCAAAAGGGCATAATCTGCTGAGTTGTAATATTAGACTGGACAGAGATTTAGAGCATCCATCACTGAAAAGCATCCTTCACCTGCAGGGATGTAGACTAGCCAACATAATGGATAACAGTGATATGCATGGTACTAGCTGAAGTCAGTAGCGACAAGAACAAATACTTCCAATAAAATACTTCCAATAACATCACCTATGAGATACTATGAACTAGGATTGACATAAATAGCAACATTACCATAAACCTGAAAAACAAAACACGTATTCTTGAGCTTGAGACTACTCTTTTTTTCTTACCCACATCTCTTGCTAGCATATAAAAATCATATTTCCAATGAGGAAACAAAGTACTAAATATTTCCACCTATTAGGATGAAATGTGTTGTGAGAATTACAGAATACAACATGCAGTGGGATCTTCTGGTAAATTTTGTGGAAGTTGGCACTACAAAATTAGCCATCCATTCCGATGTGCTGTCCCTCCTCTTGTTTCTCTACTTCATCCATTCTACAAATATTTATTAAGTATTTATTGTATGCCAGGCATTGAGCTAGAAACCAGATGGTCTCTGCTCTCTTGGAGCTTGTAGATGATTATAATTTAGCAGTTAATGGGGTGGGCATAAAATAATTGATTGTTAAATTATAATCATCTATTCACTTGTCCATCCTCTGCATTGAACTGAGACATTTTTAGGTGATAATGATGCCTTCCTTATCTTGACATTCCCAGAAACTAACAGAGTGCATGACACACAGTAGATATATGGACATGCAAAAACTGTGGGACACGTAAGTGAATAAAAATAAGAATGAAGGAAGAAAGCCTGGTGGGAAGGGAAGAATACGGATGATGAAAGTAAGTGGTTTTGGTTAAAAGACCTTGTTTTCAAGTTAAAAGAATGATACCATTCCATCAGTTAAAATTAGCTCTTCAGAAATCAAAGCTTTAAAAAAAGATGTTTCCATCGAAAGTTAAACCGAAAAATGACCACTTTTCATCAAAGAACAACTATGTACTCACACTTTAAGCTTCGTTTCAGGAAACCAATATTTCATTCCCAGCTTTACTCTAAAATTATCTCACATGGAGAAATCACTTAATATTTGTATGCCTCATTTCTTCCACTTAGAAACAGTTAACACTCCCTCCTACTAGTCATGGATATACAGAGTTAATTGAAACATGCAAAGTACTTTAGGCAAAAAATACTAATTTCTACATAAGCCTAATTGGTATGTTCATCTTTACTAACAGCATAATGCAGATATTATTAATAATATTGAGTGCACTCAGGAAAGAGTTCAACAGTGACTGCTGTAAAGAAACAATCTAACTTTCTTCCCAATACTGTGGGAATGTTGGTCTTCTGTGAACCTATGGCTCCATGACTTCAGGAAGGCAGAGAGAATCTTCAATCATTTCCCAGACTCAATCTCCTACCTCAGAAAAAGTGAAACCTTGGCCAAGCCACCCAAACCAGTCACAAAGAGGTTGTTTATTTCAAATCCACTGAAATATAATTATAAACTCAACCATAAAATTTCCTAAACTCTGCCCTAGAACGTTGATTGGGTATTTCTAAAATTACCCTGTGATCTGTATTTACTACATTTCTAATGACATCTTATTATGTATTGAAAGTGTAGTGCTAATTTGAGAACCACATCCTCATCCTGTACAGGAATCCAAATCTATTGCTGCCACAGAGAAATAAATAGCCTTTTACAAAATCAATGAAGGAAGCCACAAAGGGTCATTTGGTCTAGCCCAGTGACCTCAGCAGGAATCTAATTGATACCAACTGTATGTATTGATACAAATAATGGCCAACATTCCTTAAGTGTCTACTATGAAGCATGGCACATAACTAAGCCCTTTTCCCATTATCTCATTTAATCCTCAAAGCCATCTTATAAAATAGGGACAATTCTTATTCTCTACTTTATAGATGAAGAAAACGTAGTACTGAGACATCAAATGCATCAATACTACAAGGAAAAAGAGTAAGAGAAAGGAAGGTTAATGAGTATATGGATATTTATATTCTCAATATATCAAATTATTTTTAATATTTAGTACATATTTTTATGAGTAAAATAAAAATATTTTAGGAGAATTATGTATATTGTCACAAAGCATCAAAATAAAGTAGGAGGAGAGTCATTGAGTCAGAAATTGTAGGTCATTGAGTCAGAAATTGTGGTAAGAATTTTTGGCAAGGGTTAAAAAAATTAGGGTTGAGAAAGAATACAGGAGAGTCCAACCTAGCCCGGAGGCTGCTGCAGAAAAGAGGTTGAGTCTGGCTTCTAAAGGCTCTACCACCTGGTTCCCAACTTAACACAGCACCAGAAAAAGTCTCTAACACTGCACCTCGTATCATTTCTTCTAACTTCAGAGTCCTGGGCAGGAGCTGTGTCTATGTCAAGAGCCAAGAAAAGGATGTATCTATTCCTCCCATTTGCACACATTTTTGGCTTCTTTGTAGTGGGAAATATAGTCTTCCCTCCTAGAAATAAAGTTCGTAGTTTCCCAAAAATAGAAAGCCAATTTTGGGCAGCTTATGCTACTCCCAAAAGTTTACAAGAAGAAATATCATTGCACTGTGATTTGGGGGATTATAAAGACATTCTCACCTACTACTTGTACTGTAGATTTCTATTATGCTAATTTTAATCCATACAGCAATATGTCACCCCAAAAGACTCCGGAAGTGTGGTTAATAACAGAAATGAAGCTTCAGCCTGCAAAGAAAACATTTGTTTGTAATCTACATATTTCTTTTGAATAAATTAGTTGAGATTAATAACTTTTCTATTATTCTCTCTGGATCATTCCTATTCTTTAGCCAAATGGTAATTTCTCAATAATAAATTAAAATATTGCTTCTATCTGCTCATTTCCATATTGGTGAATTACTTCTAACCTTAATGAATGATGCTCTAGCAAATCAATTATTCATGTTTTAAATATTTTATGTTCCCCACACTATAGATTTATTATTAACTGTTGGAACTTATAAATGTTAACATGGGATGATGCCATCATCCAGCTTCATCAATAATGGATTGTTTTATTTTTTAATGATTTTTTGTGCTATTGATTGTAAATGTGTTTGACCCAAAGGGCCTTAAGCTTTTTCCATTAAAAATGAAAGTAAGCAAAAGCTCAATGTGGAATAACACTTTTAAAATATATTCATGCTTGAGTGAAACCTGATGATCTTAATAAAATGAGTTTGATGTTACCAGCCTCATATACAGTAGAAAGTGGTCCAAAGGATGAATCGGGAGATAGTGTATGAAAAATCCTTTCAAATAATTTGTAGTCAGTAATTAGCAATAACGATGGGGTATGAAAAAATACGAAGTCCTACAATCATCTTCATCACTAATACACGATGTGACTGCCAAAATAAATCCATATTGCAAGTCAGGTCTAAAAAAGAAACAGTATCATGTAAGAAAAAGGCCAGGAAACCACATAATAAGTCATTGTACATTTAATGCTTTGAAATAAAGAAATATCATAAAAGTAAAACATTTTGACCAGGGGAAAGAATAAAATGTTTCATAGCTATGAATAGAAAAATCAGTCTCACTTATTATTAGATATATCATTGTGCCAAAAGCTAATTTCAATCAGCCAGAGAAGCTAGTTATTCACATATGATGTAGGTCTTTGCTCTGTTTTACCTTTATTACAATACATCTTTTTTAAGGGGAAGAGCAAGCAGTAAATTAAAATTCAGCAAGTAGAAGTCCCTTTCATTTAGCCATTAAGGCAGTGGACACTTACTGAGCAAACATCTATGTGAAAGCACTGGGCTAAACCAGGAGGGATGTGTCAATATGATCATCTCTACTTTGAGAGTTCTGATAGTTAAGAAAATATAATGCATGAATAATAATATAAGTCCTAAAGATATAACAGCAATATTAAGATACAAGTAAGTTCTAAGAAAATTTAGAAGAGGACAGACCTTAATTCTGAGCAGGGTTTTCATTTCAATTTTTAAATTAAAATCGAATTCTATACTGTCTTGCAAATTGATATTTGCTGTCTTATGGAAACTGTTTGGATTTGGGTTGTGCATTAACTTGCAACTATAAAGTGTCAGAAATGATCAATCTGGGGAGATGCAATAATCACATAAATTCTGAGAGTCTTAAAAACAATTCTCAAGGGTGAAATCCTGTCCTACAAACCCTATATTATGATTTCACACCACCACTCTATGGCATGTAAATCTTAGGAGCTATAAGAGAAGGTTATAAATTGCTTGATCTCATAAGATAGGCAGGTGTCCTTGGACAGACCTTTCTGTGTCTCAGTTTCTCAGCTGTAACGTAGGGAGGTTAAGCTCAGAATCTCTATGATCATTTAAGGTCTAATATCCTGAGATTCTTAGACTTGTTGCATGGGCCATTTTTCATATGACCAATTTTCCTTCTAAGAATAAATGTTGTCAGGTTACCTGTTCCGCATAAAGGGTCCACACAGAAGTAATTGGATCCCCATGGAAAAGCAATACCCTATGTATGTCTCACACCTCATAAATAGTATACTCTAAGCATTGGTGGATGCTATGCAAAATAATGAAAGAATAAAATCTCCCTATTTACCCAAAACATATTTTTTTTCTTATTAGAGATCCAGAGATTACACTCATCTTCAGGCTGTTGACAGAATATAGAGAGCATAATCCTGAAAGCATACCACTTCTTGATGAAAATGGTACTTGTATACAAAGACTAGATGAGTATCAAGATAGTGGGATGGCCAAACAAATTTTAAGAACTGGAATTCTAACATGAAATTTAAGGTTCCGTTTGCTTACGTGATGTGATCCATTCTTCATCTCCAACAAACCTTCAAACCATATGCAAAATACCCAAACTGGGAGTATTTTCGTTATTTTGTTGTTGTTGTTCATTGCATATCTGATGTGGAATTCATAGAAAGGGCTAAACTTCATACTGAGTTGATGATATGGAAAAACAGAGCACAAGAATACATGGAGGGCCAGGTTATTATACGTAAGTTTTTCCAATAGCACTCACAGTCTTCTACTTTCTGTTTTATGTTATGTAGAGTCTTTGCTCTCTTACACTGTAAATTGCTAGAGCAAGGAATCCATGCCTGATTTATCTTATTTCTGTCACTCTGCCTCCAGCATTGCTACATCTCAGACAGTAGGTGCCCAATAAATATTTCCTGAATGATTCATTGGACATAGATATATCTAAGCAAACGAGAAACAATGAATTCCCCTGGGGCTAACCCAGTCTAACTATGCAATTCTTATGAATCTGACCCTAGAAGTCTTAATCCTTTTGATTGTCTTTGAGCTATTTTAACACTTTTGAAATTAATATTCTGTTTATGATTTTGTTGTATGTTTATCAGCATTGTCTATCAGATACTGCAGGCTCCACGCCTTGGGACATTTCTTCTATTTAACTCAAAGTAGGAGACTGGCATTAAACAGAAGGATCGTGGATGCTGATACAATGCCAGTGATCTCCATAGTAACAATGCCCTTGTCCAAACAAGTAATATAATGAACAGCATTCCCTATTTCCTGTGTACTCTTTTATTTATTTATTTATTTATTTATTTATTTGAAATGGAGTCTCACTCTGTCTCCCAGGCTGGAGTGCAGTGGCACCATCTCGGCTCACTGCAAGCTCCGCCTCCCAGGTTCACGCCATTCTCCTGCCTCAACCTCCTGAGTAGCTGGGACTACAGGTGCCCGCCACCACGGCCGGCTAATTTTTTTTATTTGTATTTTTAGTAGAGATGGGGTTTCACCACGTTGGCCAGGATGGTCTCAATCTCCTGACCTCATGATCCACCCGCCTCGGCCTCCCAAAGTGCTGGGATTACAGGCGTGAGCCACCGCACCCGGCTTTCCTATGTAGTCTTGATGGTGATACAGAAAGCATTTCTTTCCCTTGTAGGAAATGGGTATAAAAACAATTTTACCTTTAACTTAGAGCGTAATGAAAATTTTTTTTTAAACTTTTATTTTAGGTTCAATGGTACATGTGCAGGTTTGTTACACAGATAAATTTGTGTCACTAAGGTTCGTTGTACAGATTATTTCATCACCCAAGTAGTAAGCCCAGTACTCAATAGTTATTTTTTCTGCTCCTCTCTCTCCCGCAAACCTCTACCCTCAAGTAGGCCCCTTCTTTGTTGTTTCCTTCTTTGTGTCTATGAGTTCTCAATATTTAGCCTAATGAAAAATTTAAAAACTGTATTAAACATAAGGCAAAGGTATCACTTGATTTGGCATGATGGAAAATAAATTTTGGATCATGTTTTGAACGTTTGGGCCTCATATTGATAGTGATTTAGGGAGAAGGGGCACAACAGCACATGGTTCTCACAATGTGGGCTGTATATCAGCAAGAATACATCCGAAAATCTCATCATCATTTCTCAGAGGCAGCAAATAAACATCATAAATTTACTCTATGAGTCCTCTATATCATAATGAAGTTACCCTTCTTCTGAATTAGTGGGTTTATCTAGTATTTGAAGGATTTTCAACCAATAGTTTCATGGAGAAGAGCTGCTTTCTTATTTCCCTCAAGTCTTGAGATGATCAAATTACTGATCAAGAACATTATTGACAGTGAAGTTAGAGAAAGTGAGGCTTATAATCCACTGATTAAATGAATCTGACTTGATTTATCTGTGTAATGAGAAAAGAAAAGGGAAAGAAATAACCCTGGGAATACTTGAACAATGTAAGAACAATAAGATCATGTTTTTTTCTCTTTTTACCAAGTGCGGGACAATAGACATATGTGAGAGATGGAGACCTGCCTAAGAATTTAATTTGGAAAAGGTTGAGAAGAGTCATACTTGCAAAGCCTCTGACAATTCCATTTTGGTTAAGGGTAGAGATCTTGGTAGGTGGCTTTTTTTTTTTTTTTAGGAAAATATCTAGAACATGGTGTTTCCATGAGACAGGAAGAAAGGGAGTTAAGTTGTTTTGCAAAATAAATAGATATATTCCCATTTTAAGATGGCAGTTTATTCTCACTGTAACCTTGAAACCTTGAAATACATGATAAAAGACTTTGGGTATCAGTCAAATAGAGACAGAGATGAAAATGAAACAAAGTGAAGGTGCCCAGAACTTTAATCCCAGAAAGAGTGTTGGGGCACAGATTTCTTTAGCTGTGTGGCACACATGAAGGGCCAAAACAATGTTCTCTTAATCAGAACAAAAGACTAAGTTAACAGGAGTGGCTAAGGTAATATCTAAAAACTCATTTGACTACCTCAAGATGGCAGAAATGCAAGGACAAACTATCCTTCCATGTTCAAAAATAAGTCATAATCAGAAAACAAGTGCAGCATATATATTTTTAAAAGTCCCTTCAAAAAGCTAGAAAGAAACAGAGAAAACAAATGGTGAAGAACACCTCTCAAAACATGTTTCTACAGGGCAGATTAAAGTTCACGACTTAAGCCATTTCCAAGAACTCAAACAAAATTAAAGGAAATACCAAATCCATGAAATAAGAGATGAATGCAGAGATAAAAGGCTTGAACAAAGAAATAGGGCGACATTAGATTAAAGGATGAAAAATGAGTTGGCAGAACTTGAGACAAGATGCAAATAATAAAACTGTCACAAAATAAAGTCCCCATTGGAAGAGCAAAATGAAGACTAAGAAGGACACAGAAGAAGAACTTGACAGAAGTGAGCAAGCCATCAAAGCATTTCTAAAGGAAATGGCATGTATGCAGTATAGACAAAGGTGATTCAACTCAGGCATAATTGGTGCCTGAAAAAGGTAAGAGAAGGAAAAAATAAAACAGAAAAGCCTTTCATTTTTAATTCAAAAAACCTTCAGAAATTAAAAATGATTGAATCTACAGTTTCAAGAAGCATTTGATATTTCAGGGGAAAAAAATGATATTATACAATTAATGACCAGGCCTAATAGCAAAACCATTAAACTAGTGTACTTTATATATAAAGAAACAATCTTGAAAATCAAAGCAGAGAAACCAAGGCACTTTAAAAGGGAAAATAATCAGTTGTCAGAAAGTCCTCCAGCAGTTGAGCTACACTTATAAAGCATCAAGGAAGGAAACTGTGGTCCTAAAGTTATATACCCAGCCAAAATATCACTCAAGCATAAAATAGATGAGCATGTTCAGCTTGTCCAAATTCAGAGCCATAGTTTCCATAAACTCTTCTTAAAGAAACGATTGCATTTCTGCCCATGACGAGATGGTGAACTACCTTGGCATTAGGTGCCTCCTCCACCCTAATGCAATACTGGAGAAGTCACAGAAGTCAGGGGACTGATGGGCATGAGAAACTATCATAGGAATCTTGATAACCTATTTTACTGAGGAAAATAGAAGGAACCAGGTTCTGGCACATATTCCAAGGGCAGGAATGGAACACAAGTGAGAGAAGGCTAGGAGCCACAGGTGTGGATAGACCACATAACAGTTTTCTAGTTATTCTTTCATTGTTCCCTTGGCATTACTTTAGGTACACTGTTGCCCACTCCATTGCCTCTGTAGGATATAAAAATAAAATAAAATAAAATACATAATAAAAATAACATAATAAAATAAAATAAGATCCACTGTCATATCAGCCTAACACCAGCCGGAAACTACAGCATAACTTGAGAGCAATAATGTGGCCCAGGTCAGGGAACAGGTAGATAGAAACACATGTAGGCCCACTGTAGCCCCTGAGCATGTCCTCCTCTGACCTACATACCTTGAGGACTAGAGGATTACAACCCACAGACTCAGTATTTGGCAAAGGGCACTGACTGAGTTGGAAGTTTAGTAAAATTTCCTAGAGCAAGATTGTATTGCCAGGAGAGGAAAATAAGAGTGAACTGCAGTACAAAAAAGTCTCCTCCCTGAAGCATGTTCCCCTTCTGAAAATTTTCAGGAGAGATACAATCTAGTATTTTTCCAGTATTTTCCCCAAGAACACTTTACTATCCCCTGGGGAAAATAATCTCATGAAGAAAACTGCTGGACCATTTATACTCAACTGTTATTTTAAAAATAGAATATTTTTTAAAAGCATAATGAAAAAGATTTACTATGCTAGACAGAAGAAAATTTAAAATAAGCATAATAAATGTGCTCAAGTAAATAAGGGAAGACATTGCATTCCAGACACAGAAATGGGTCATCGGCTGGAAGAAGCAATTGAAGATACTGAGGATGAAAAATGAAATCATTGAAATAAAGAACTCAATAGTGGTTTCAATAACAGAATGATCAAAGGCAGAGAAAACTGTTAGAAAGCTAAAACATCAAGTAAAGTAACTCTTCAAAAGGCACTCAGAAAAAATAGAAGGACAGGATTTCTAAAATCAAAATGAATATATACAGAATATAGAAGGAGAAGTATATTTATGCAATAGGAATGCCCAAATTTTAAAAAAAATGGAAAGAAGGACATATTTACTAAACTAGCAAATAAGATTTTCTCAAATTTGTGATAAATTATTATCCAATTAAAAGTGCTCATAGACTGCCACTAAATGAATGAAAAAATTAACAGGAAACTACAACTAAGTTTATTTCACAGAATGTTAAAAAACAAGGGTGAACAGAAAATTCTGAAACCTTCCAGAGACTGAGACCAGATCACCTACAAAGGACTAAATTAGATTGAAATCAGTTTTTAAAAGCAACTTGAGAGATAACGAGACATTAAATTAATATATTTATATTCAAAGTGCTGAGGGATAAAATCGTCAAGCCTAGAATTATATAAAGTTAAATTATCTAAGTGATAAGGTAAAATAAGGTATTCAAGGCCTCAGAGGATTCAGCACATTTCTGAAAACAAAAAGAAAACTATGCCTCACGTGAAAAATAGGTTAAAGTAAATAACTTAGACATTTGTATGCTTACTTTGAAAAAAAAGTGTATTGATGTCCTTTGTCCATATTTTAATCAGGTCATTTGTTTTTGTTTTTTGGCTATTGAGTTGTATGAGTTCTTCGTATATTTTGGATATTAGCCCCTTATCAGATATATCATTTTTACTTATTTTCTCCTGTGCCTGTTTATTTTATTGATTGTTTCCTTTGTTGTGCAGAAACTTTTTAGTTTGATGTCATTTTACTTTATAATTTTTGCTTTTGTTGCCTGTGCTTTTCCAAAGAAGACCTACAAATGTGCAACAGGTATATGAGAAGGTGCTTAATATCACTAATCATCAGAGAAATGCAAATTAAAACCACAGGAAGATATCATCTCACACTTGTTAGGATAGCTACTATCAAAAAATCAAAAGATAACAAATATTGGTGAGGATGTAGAGAAAATACTGCCCTTGTACATTGTTGGTGGGAATGTAAATCAGTATAGGTATTTTGGGAAAATAATATGGAGGTTCTTTAAAAAATGAAAAAGAAGATTATTGTTAATTTTTAACTTCATCAAAAAATTAAAAAGAGAATTATTTCCTTTGGCTAATAAAATCACTCAAAGATATGTCTGCACTCCCATGTTCACTGCAGCACTATTCACAATAGCCAAGAAATGGAATCTACCTAAGTGTCCATCAAAGAATGAATGGGTAAAGAAAATGTGATGAATGTATACAATGGAATATTATTGAATCTTAAAAAAGAAGGAAATCTTATCATTTACAGCAACATAGATAAACCTAGAGAACATTATACTAAGCAAAATAACACATACACAGAAAGACAAATCCTGTATGATCTCACTTACATGTGAAATTGAAAAAAGTCAAACTTACAGAAGCAGAGCAACTGTGGTTGTCAGGGGTTGGGGAGTGGGGAAAATGGGAGAAATGGAAAAAGCACCAAAGGATGCAAACTTTCCACTTTGAGATGAATAGCTTCCAGTGATCTAGTTTATAGCATGGTGTCTATAAGTACTGTACTCCAGCCATGTTCTTGGAGAGTTACTATAGGGGAAATAAAATTAAATAGGATTTAAGACAAATCCTAATTGAGACAGAAAGAAATATAAAACCACTGTAGAGAAATACAATTATTTAATGGTTAAATAATTTAATAACATAATAATTTAGATGGGGGTTAGCAAACTGTGGACCCATGAGTCAAATCCGATATGCAGCCTGTGTTTGTAAATAAACTTTTATAGGAACATGGCAACACTTCTTCATCTACATATGGTCTATGGCTGCTACATTAGCAGAGTTGAGTAGATGTGATAGAAATGTTATGGCCTGCAAGCCATGGTCCTTTGTAGAAAGAATTTGCTGACCTCTGATTTAGATGATGGGGAGGGAAGTGAGAAGGTAGTGCTACCTAAAAATATCCTTCTGATATAAAATTACATTAATAATTATATGAATATACATTGTTATACATTACAATACATAGAAAGAAAGACTGGCAGGAAATACAAGCTACTAATAGCCATCGTATTTGGATGGTAATAACATGACTGCTCTTTCTTTCTCTTCCATATTTTTTAATTTGGAAGAAATGTGGCAATACACTTGTATTACTTTTATTTTTATCTTATGATAGTAAATTTCTGAATTGTGAAAACACGGCAACCACAACATCATGAAAAGGCAATAAGAAAATCTCAAAAATATGAAAATTTAATTTCAACACATGAAAGAATCTATCTAAATCATGGAAAGCTTGCCTGCACAAAACTGGTCACATAAATTCCATGAAAAGAACAGAAAATTACCATAATCTGCAAGAGACTGTTTATAGTCACTAACCTACAGAATAATGCTACCTTACATTTGCATAAAGCGGCATAGTCTATACACGTCTCATTTGATTGTAGACTAAAAATATAAGTTTTTATATCCTTTGCACAACTGGAGAAATAAGATTGAGAAATGAAGCAACTTTGCCAGAGTCAAAGAGATTTCAAATGTCTGAAGTAGGAACAGAAAGCAGAATTTTGTTAACATCCTTATTGTGCCAGCCAACCACACTTTTTCTCTTTAGAAAAAAACAAAGGCTTTTTGGCTTTTCTTAAATTGACTGGAACTATAAACACTTGATTTTTTAAAACTGAAATGTTTTTCCCTCGTTGGTTTGTTGAAACAATACTGAGTTAAATGAGTTTATGTTCCACTTTGAGTTGTATTTTCAATTAAGCTAAGTAATATTGAACTCAATTTTTTCTGAATGTGACATTTGTTACTGAATTCCTGTGAAGTAATCGTTTTTAAATAAAAAATTATCATCAATCACTCCCTTAAAAATTAAATAAAGTCCACGTGAGCCATGAATAAGAGAAACTCAAGGGAAAATAATCATTATTGTCACATCTCTCTCTTGGTTTCACATTAAGATGGCGTTTTATTTAACCACTGGCCACTTTATAATAGTGTTGTAATATGATAAAATATGTCATTTTTCAGTGTGACAAAACTGCCTAGATATTAGTCATCAACTTATACTGACTGGAAAATCTGTACGGAAGCATGTGGCTGCCTTCAGGACTGACTTAATTCTCAAGTCCTGAAGACTAATGTGAAACTCTACTGGACTTTCTCACGTGACAAAGGATCCTTTTATTCCACTCTCTAAGCCTGATAAGTATTATAATACACAGAAAGTACGACAACGGATGAGGCTTTCAATATCAATAAGAAAGTGTAAGTATTTTGCTGGAAATACTTCTTATTGTTGCAAGAGAAAAGCTAAACTCCAGTTCATTGTGACTAATAGCTCCATTCATTTTCATATTTGTTTTTGAAAGCCAGACTACAGTAACACATCACTGTCCATAAGAGCTTCACAAACTCCTGTGCTGACGGAGCCCTGCTGGCCAAGGAGAGCCAAAGCAAAGGCTTGGGGCTCTGGACATGAAGTTTTGACTTTCCCTTTTATTAGAGAAATGTTATTGCAGTCTCCTGTTTAATCTCTAAACTTCATGGTAAATTTATTTTCTGGCTCTTACTCTATATTTATGTCAAATAATACATTTTACAAATTGCTTAAGATTGAGCTTAATTGCTGTTTAAAGAAGATAATGTTCTGGTATCCAGCAACCTCAGGAATCCAATGATGAGTTTGCATTTAACCCCAAGGCTAGCTAAACTCAGTACTGGGAAGCAAATATGATTGAATCTCACCTTCTAAGCAAGAAATGCAAAATATTCATAGAGTGACTTTTGGGGCATGCTCCACCTCAACTTCCCCAGTTGCAACAAAGCTACAATCCCCCCTAAACATTTCTAGTGACTCACTACCAGGCGCTCCACCCTCCATGCCTTCACCCTGTGGCTCCTATACCTAAAATTGAAACAGGTTTAATTTCCCCATAGAACTGAGGTTTACAGTCTTTTTGAATAAGCATAAAAGTTAATCCTTCCTGTTGTTAAGGCTTGAAATTTACATTTGTCCTGCCTGAGTTCTTTTCTCAGGAAACTAACCATCAGGCCTCCCAGACAGTATCAAAGAACTGAAACTCACCAGATCACCACATCCAGACAATGGGACGCCAGATCCCTCCCTAATTCCTGCTTTCCTAAACGACCAACTGCTTCCTGCTGACCAACTTCTCTTCCTTACTTCTCCCTAATTCCTGTTTTCCCTGCACTTAGGCTCATTCCTTCCCTGCTATATAAATCCCCAATTTTAGTTGGCTGGGGAGACAAATTTGAGACTTAGTTCCCATCTCCTCTGCCAACATCACTCAAATAAAGCTTTTTTTTCCTTGGCAATATGTGTTGTCTCAGTGATTGGCCTTCTGTGTAGTGAGCAACAAGGATGTAGACCAAGGTGTCCAATCTTTTGGCTACCCTGGGCCACATCGGAAGAAGAATTGTCTTGGGCCACACATAAAATACACTAACGATAACTGATGAGAAAAAAAAATTGCAAATAAATCTCATAATGTTTTAAGAAAATTTATGAATTTGTGTTGGGCTGCATTCAAAGCCGTCCTGGGCCACCTGAGGCCTGTGGGCCACAGATTGGACAAGCTTGATGACTAAACCCCTGGTGTTTCAGTAACAAAATGCTCTCTCTACTCTCCTGCTCCTTGTCCGTGGAATTGAACTTCAGCATATCCTCCAATTTTCCAGGGAGGCTTAACTATTAATATCTTCTCTATAAAATATTTTCTTACAAAATGAAATTTTCTTGCAGGAAATATAGTAGATATTAGATATTTCTAATGGATATTCTATTTTCCATTCTCCTACTGAACCGTCCTTTATCATACAATTAAACTTAATTGCAATTATTTGTTTGAATGTGTGTTTCTCTCTGTATACCATACAACCCTTGTGGGCAGTCCAGCTCACTATTTTTTTAAATCTCCTAACACAGAGGCTGGTGTAAAGTTGGATCTCTATAGGCATAGAGAATGAATGAAGTAAACAGATTAATGTCAGCATTGCTTTTTTGGAACTTTACATACATTAGGTCAAACACTGAAAAAGTCCTTCATCCCTGGAATTCATTAGCCACATCAGAAGAACTGAAATGGAGAGAATGAGCATAAATGCACTGTTGGCAGGTGCTGAATACTCTCAGCCTTTCCTGGGATAAGAACTACTAATTCATTCTTCTGGGGGAACAAAAAAGATAACAGTTCACATAATATCTCACTTGTCTCCCATTTTGAATTAAGTTGCCCTTCAGACACAACTGACAAGAAACTAAATGGACTCCTAGCATGATTTTGGCAGCCTGTGGTATTAAATCACATCTGGACTCCATGTGACTTTCAGTACAGTGTATCATAATTCAACCCATAAAAAAGAACTGAGTAGAGCTCCAGTAATCCACATGATCATATGTAACTTTCCCAAGATATCTGACTCCAAAATAAAAATGATGACATTGCTACCTTGCCCAGAATTTCACAAGAAGTTAACATTCTGTAAACTAGCCTTTCCTTAATTTAGTTGTTGTATGATTAAAAACAAGATTCAGTTGTCCATTTCTCCTGAATCATATCTCCTTTGACTACTGAAACATGATTTTGGAGATACTTATTTCCAATTTAGATGCTGCTTCTGCTATTTACTTGTTTTTGTAGAGATAAACTGGATGTTACAGAAAGATTATATTTTAGACCTACTTAATAACGTGGAAAGTCCTCATTTGATACATGAAAAAACTGAGGCCTGGTGAGGTGGTGATAAAGTCCAGGTCACCCCGGGTACTTATTTCTAATCAGTAGTAGGCTTACCACTCATGTTTTCTACTGCACTTAACTTTTTCCTTTTTGTTTTTTTAAAGATAATATGCGATCTTAACCTTTTACTTAGATTTAATCTGCCTATTAAAATTTTGGTCTTAAGTAAATAAATTAAACTCATGTATAATATTCGTGATTTTCATACTAAAATACATTCATGAAAGAATAAGTCAATTTCCTTCTCATATATATTGAAGAAGTGAAATTTCTCTAGCAGATGTTCTGGAAATTTTTACATTGAAAACATCTAAAAAACTCCCAGCAACCTTCCTTAGGTTGACATGACTTTCAGTGGGGTGATAAAGGGAACCTGTGGAGAAGGAAATTGCTTTGGTCTTCATTAGGACAACAAGATATAAAAATTACTGGCACTCTGAAACAAATTATAGTTAATTCTCATTCAAAAGGACTGACAATGATGGGTTCTGATTCACCAAATATTTGCCAGTTTGTACAACACTTTTTCACAGTAGATTATCTTATGAATTAGGTCAATGTAACCCTCCGAGAGCAAAGTTTCTCATCTGTAGTGGCAAGGTGTCTCCTAAGGGTCATCAGGAAATGTGTGAAAAGGAGTGGGTTTCTGACTGTCAGAATGCCTGGAGAGAGATAATTGCAAGTAGTGGATTAAACATCCTACAATAACTAGACATTTCACCAAAAACATTTTACTTGGGTGCAAGTCCTATTTGCACCCAAATGCCAATAGGACTTCCCCTGAGAACCACTAAGTCAGAGAGTAAGCACATCTGATCCTCTCCACAGCCCAACGAAGTATTAGCATTTGAAGGTGTCATCGTTTCAAGACACCAAATTAAGCAGCCAGTTAATACTAGGAAATTTAACAATTTCCTACAAATCTGTGATTATCAATTAATATTCCTAAACTTATTACTAATTAGTTTTCCTTATTGCATAGAGCATGTCCCTAAAACTTTTACTATGGTGTTCTTGTCTTCGATGATAATGAGATAAAAACTTAAGATGGCTAATCGTTGACAGTACTGCTTTTTTAAAAACTTAATCTTTCTTTAGCAAGCTGTTAACAGATTAAAAAAATTCTTCCTTAAAATTATGCTGAACTTTGCTTTACCAAGAATCATATAGAAATGCTTGAGCTGACATGATTTAAGCATCAGATACTGATGTCATAATTCAAGTAAAGAAGTAACAATATTCTAGGAAGAAATAAGCCAGTGAAAAGCCTGCTATTGAAGGCAAATGTACATAAAAGTAATAAGAGTCTCAGAAGAGGGTTACTGACAAGAGGGTTACTGAAATGTACCTATTGCTTTTTGCATGATACTTCAGTAAAAGTGAAGTCAGGTCTCAGGCAAGCTTCTGAGGTGAGGCACCAGTGGCAGTAAGCCAAAATCATAGACAGGTTCTTATCATCACACGCATCACTAGCCAAAGTCACCCCAAAAAAGGATCCTCATGTCACAGGGGCGCTGTCCTTGGGATAAGGGGCAGGGAGGATAATCGATTTGATACCACTTTCCTCTTTGTCCACTGCACTCCACTACATTGGCCTCTCCATTGACCTCTCTCCATCAATATCATAGGTGTTAAGAAGGCTTAAGCTGACAGACTTGTGCAGCTGAGTTAGGAAGGTTTGGGATAATCTGGGTTTTTTTTTTCTTGTTGTTTTCTTCTTATTATGCCTCATCATTTAGTAATTTTCCTGAGTTTAGTACTAGAAAATAATAAATCCTCAGGAAACCAAATGCCTTATATCTTGAAATTAACTAAAAACAGATGGCCACACATCCCCAAGATGCGAACATTTATATGCAAGACACAGAATGTGAAATGACTAAATCAGGTAGAATGTAAAATCCTTTTCCAGATTACATGTACTTTGTCCACAGTCTTCCTTAAATGATCTTTCATTATAAATTCATTATCATAGTCTCCAAGTTACCATTTCTATAACTCAAGAGCTACAAAAAAAAACTTGTATTTTTAAATAAAAGCTGTGAATTCATTAAAATAAATCTAATTTCAAGTAATGTCAAGTTTGAGTGTCAATAATATTCTAAGGTGTGTTTATTTCCACGTTTGCTCCTCTCTGAAACAAAAACTGATTTTCCTACCGGTAGGTGATAGCTATATGAAAAATGAAATACACCTGAACTTTGGGCCATTTAGATACCTAAACACCTAGTATTAATAGTGTTGTGATTGTCCACCCATGTGCAAAACTTTTTATTGATTTATTTTTATGTGAAATGTGCTGGAGCATAAAGTTTCTATAAAACCATTAAAATCCCCACCTACACTGTTCTTTCATCTTCATTCACCTTATGCCTCCATTACAAGATAAAGGAATAAGATATACATGTTTTTGAAGTGTATATGTTACGCTTTTTTTAAAAAGAAGTTGACTTTATTTTTTAGAATTCTTAGAGAAAGGTACAGAGATTTCCCATATACCAGCTACCCCCACAATGTAAACAGCTCTTCTGCTATCAACATCCCCACCAGAGAGGTACATTTGTTACAATTGTTGAACCTCCGTTGACACATCATTATCGCCTGGGGTCCATAGTTTACATTAGGGTTCACTCTTGGTGTTATAGATTCCATAAATTTTGGCAAATGTATGACACATACCCACCATTATGGTATCATACAGAGCATTTTCACTGCTCTGAAAATCTTTTGTACTTGTCACTTTTGATGCTGAGTTTTGATAAGAACATACCTGTTGCTGTTAAAGATGTTATTAGACACTCACCTTTAGTGAGATATATGTTAACCCAATATAGACTGAAGGATCATATTAGATGTATTTTGTTTTGCTTATCTATGGCCATTTTACACATGCTAATACATTTATCATTCTAATTGCCTTTATATTCAAATTTATATTGAGATAGTAAACCAATAGGGACAAACATACTATGTTTGTTATGTATAATGTTATTGCTAAGAAGTATTTCCCCATTTGGGGATAGTACTGTCATCTGAGGGTGCATTCTTAATGCCAAAAATAAAGTCGTTTTCATTATTTTCACTCTAATCATATACGTCCAATATCATAAACTGTTTCTCAAAGAGTGCTTCACAGGACGCGGTCTCCATGGTATGTTTCCTTTAAAAAGGATTTTGTGGTCAAATACATTTGAGAAATGATGCATACTATAGTTCCTTTTGGAGATTTACAAACTATGTCAGCCATTTAAAAATTTTGTGAAGTCCTACACCAAATACTTGATCTAATTTCACTTAATCCAGCACTTTCCAAACTTATTTACTCATTTAACAGCTTAGGGATTTTAAATAAACATAATACAGACTGGATCAAAATTTTCCAGAGAATTTTTTGGAAATTCAGGTTCTAGTAAAACAGAACAGATCTAGACCATCCTAGCTCACACAGTGAAACCCCATCTCCACTAAAAAATACAAAAAAATAAGCCAGGCATGGTGGCGGGTACCTGTAGTCCCAGCTACTCGGGAGGCTGAGGCAGGAGAATGGCATGAACCTGGGAGGCAGAGCTTGCAGTGAGCCGAGATCGCACCACTGCACTCCAGCCTGGGCGACAGAGCAAGACTCTGCCTCCAAAAAAAAATAAAAAATAAAAAATAACTCATTAGTTATAATATTAATGGTAATTACTAATAGTAATAGTAGTACTACTAACAGTCATTAATTTAAAACAAACATAATATGCGGGTAATTTATTGTTTCATAGTTTATTTTCACTTGTATTTTATTTTAGTATTATATTTAATGTTTTTAAATAGTCTGAACCAGCATGTTCCACACTTAACGGAGATCTTCAGAGGTCCCACCAATTTTGTTACTCATAATTGGAATAAACTTGCTATAGTATACATCGTAAAATTATGATGAAACAACTCAAAACGAATAACCACAAAATCTACTTACACTAGAATATATTAACACAAATACAGAAAATGTATAGTCACCTAAAATGTGTTTTCTACATGAAAGAATCTTTTGAACTAAGTAAGTATATGAAACAATTGTAGGACTTAGAAGATTTCACATTCCAATAATATATTTTTAAAATATAACATAAAGGTGATGATACAAGTTACTTCACTTATAAGCAAAATTGAATTTAGGTACACTGTAACTGCTTGGAGGAACATTGTAAAATAATGGAAAAATATTAAATTGGGAAAAATTTTGGTCTGGATTTGAGCCTATCTTTTGCATATAGTAACTGGGAAAATTACCTCTACTCACTGCAACCTCTGCCTCCCAGGTTCAAGTGATTCTCCTGCCTCAGCCTCCTGGAGTAGCTGGGATTACAGGCGCTGCCACCACACCCAGCTAATTTTTGTACTTTTAGTAGAGACCAGGTTTTACCATGTTGGGCAGGCTGGTCTCGAACTCCTGATCTTACACCTAAGATCCACCCACCTCAGCCTCCCAAAGTGCTGGGATTACAGGTGTGAGCCACCACACCCAACCTAAACCATACATTTCTTATTTTCATCATCTGTAATGGGAATGATGCTACATACTACATTCCTTGAATGATTGATTAGAGAATTAAGTTATATGGTATGAAAAGCACCTAGCCCGAAATCTAGCATTTAATTATATATCAAAATTGATACATTTATAACAACTTCCTATTAAACCGTTTATCACAAAACCTGGTTTTTTGTGTTCTGTTAATCATATGTACATAAACATATTTAATCTAAAATACAGGCAACACACGCAGTGAAAGAGTGATCAATATATTTCCAAATTTTAAATAATGCCTTCTATTCCAAAATGTAACTATTCACTTTTAACCCCAAAAGCGATTTTCTGTGGGTTAACATGTTTAGAGTCTGTATCCTAATTATCTGGTATGATATTAATAACACTAATTCTAACAAGCAAATGACAAAATAAATAATGTATGATCATCTACAATGTTTATAACAAAGCACTCATCTGTACTTATCCAAAGGATTTTAAAGTACACAATTTATGATTTTGTTGGGTTCTTCCCTCACACACTTCCTCCTTCCCAATTCATGAATATATTTCAACTGCTAATAATGGATTTAGAGTCTAGCAAAGACTATCAAGCCTCCATCATAGGATGGCAGCTACATAAACATGACCCATTTCTCAACAACATTACACTGCTGGGAAATGAGTAATATAACTGTAAAGGTTGAACGCTCCAGAAGAGTATCAAATAAAGAGAATAACTTTTTAAATGTGTTGGTTGACTTTTTTAGATATAGTTTTACAGGTTTTTAAAATAATCAATTTATTAAAGAAATGCTGGAATTACAGGGTAAATAAAAATCATCTATATGTAGCAGCACCAATCAATTAGCTAGTACAGGGACCATTGAGCAATGCTGGTTTGAACTACACAGTCCACTTACATGTGGATTTTTCTTCTGCCTCTGCCACTCCTGAGACAGCAAGACCAAGCCCACCTTTTTCTCCTCCTCCTTAGCCTACTTGACATGAAGATGATAAGGATGAAGACTTTTATGATGATCCACTTCTACTTAATGAATAACTATCTCTTTTTGGTTGTCTCTAGCCTACTTTATTGTAAGAATACAGTATATGATATATATAACATACCAAATATGTGTTCATCAACTATTGATGTTATTGGTAGGGCATCCAGTCAACAGTAGGCTGTTAGTAGTATAGTTTTTGGGGTGTCAGAAGTGACACATAGATTTTTGACTGCACAGGGGATCAGTGCCCCTAATCCCCACGTTGTTCAAGAGTCAACTGCAAAATTTTTATCAATTGTATGTGCGTGTATACACACACAAGGTGAAAATGTGTCAATTTATATTAACACATATTTTATCCATGTTTTCAATTGTCCTCTAGAAATATTGTTCCATTTCCCCTTATTGATCTAAACCAACAGTTCTGTTTTGTACAAAATTATTCCCAAACCCAGATATTTTCAAAATCTTTTCCTTATCTGAAAAACAAAACATAAAAACAGTACCTCATTGCTGGCTTAGTTGGCTTTGACTACTAGTAATGCTGAAAACATTTTGATATGATTATTAGCATTTTTCATTTTGTGACATATCATTAAAATAACCTGAGATTCTGCAAACTTTCTGCTCAGTATCCCTTGGCCTCAGAGACTCTGGCTTGATTGGTTTGAGATGGGGTCTGGGTACCATACTTTAAAAACATCTTATCTGTGATTCTAAGATATAGCCAAGGCCCAATCCACTGCTCTAGAAGGAAGATAAACAAACTCCTGGTATTGAGGCCTCTGGAAGTGGATTGGTTTCTGCCATTTCTGAAGTTCGCTTGTTCAAAATTGACTGTGTTTGTGTAATATTTATGATTCCTCTGATTGTAACAAAAAAATAGACAATTCAAGGTAGATGTTTTTCTTTAAATGACTTACTGGAAAGATACTGGAGTATGTTAAGGAATCCAAGAAAGCATTGAACAAGCAAGCTTCAGGTGATTTTAATGTGCAATCACATTTAAACTGCTCTAACGAGCTTCATTTAATATAATTATGGGGCAAACAACTCCTGTATCAATGGGTTTCTCTCAATTCAAAACGCAGAAGAATCCCAAGGACAGGGAAATGGAATGTTTCAGAGTGACTAAGATGTATATCACTGGCTGGATGATCAGGGCCTTAAGGAGGCGCATGAACTGGAACATGGATGCAGGGACACGTTGTTCTGGTTAACTGGAACTGAAGAGTTTCCTAGGACATGGCACTTTGAGTGATAAAACTGGGACAGTCCCAGGCAAACCAGGACGATTGGTCACCTTTGCAGGGAGACACTCCTCTGAGTCAGGATAAGACACAGTTTTCAGGGATAGTCAAGCAGCCCCATAGCACATCCTCATGTTATGCAATCTTCACGTTTGCAGAACCCATACCATTCGAAGTATTTTGTGATTGGTTTTTGTAGGGGAGAGCGTGTAGAAAGGGATATGGGTGTGGGGATTTATTCCACAGTACTACATACAGTAAAAGTTTAATGCAACCTCATTGTATTTAATACGGTATATTTCAAAGAATAGAAAAAAAAACTGAGGTAAATTTGGTAACTTAGATTATAGAAATTATTTTATGAGTTAGTATACCAAGCAGCAAGTCTTAAATATATACAGTGAAAGAAATAACTTTTACTTTATAAATCCTATACTCATGCTCTAAGATACTTTAAATCAGGTTCATAACCAAAACTAAAATCACAAAGGCAGAAATGCAAAATGTGTCAAACATGTTATCTCTGACAGCCAAATGTCACCCTTTTCCACATTTTAAAATGAAAATATTACAAACAGTAGGGCATTTTAATTTAAAAATGGCATGTTATTTCCAGTGTCTGCTTGCCAGTCAGACTTGGCCAAATGACTTCTTATTGAATCTTAATTATTTTTAACTCAGTAAACTAAGGCACTGTTTAGTGATGAGACAATGGTAAGAGGAGAGGTACAAACACTTATATAGGAGTTTTTTTTGTTTGTTTTGTTTTTTTTTTTTTTTTTGAGATCAAGTCTTGCTCTTATCCCCCAGGCTGGAGTGCAGTGGCACAGTCTCGGCTCACTGCAACCTCCGCCTCCCAGGTTCAAGCAATTCTCCTGCCTCAGCCTCCCAAGTAGCTGGGACTACAGGTGCACGCCACCACACTTGGCTAATATTTTTGTATTTTAGTAGAGATGGGGTTTTACCATGTTGCCCAGGCTGGTCTTGAACTCCTGAGCTCAAGCAATTTGCCCACCTCAGCCTTCCAAAGTGCTGGGATTACAGGCATGAGCCACCGTGCCCAGCCCTAGGAGTTCTTTTTTCTGACTGTAATAGCATATCAGGAAAAAGGAGATCACAACAACCTCTTAAATTATATACTCCATGGAAAATGTAAATCATTCACTACATTGGGCATTCTAGAAATATACAGCACAGCTTCTAGGAGAAGCAGGAAGATCAAGAGGTCCCCAGGACTTCCAGACCAAAATAAACAATCCTGGTGGTACAAGGCATTTGGGAACACAAAAGGTAATTTGTTATATACAAGAATGCTGGGTAAGTTGAAATCTTCCCTTCAGCAATATAAAGGAGAGGACCTACAGTAGATTTAACATTGGAAGTTCAACACTGACTGAAGATATATTCTGCTAAAGAAAACCAGTGTCCTTGGAGGGTGGAAGGAAGAACTAATCAATATAATACTGGACCAACCTAACAAGGAATGCCACCCCACTGACAAGAACCACAGCTACAAAACTCCCAATCGAAACATGTACAAATAACTGCCTGTGATGCACATTTTGACAAATGCAAACTAAGAAATAATCTTGCCGCATGAGTGTGGAAGCAGCCAGTTCTCACAATTTCAGTGCCCCCAAAAAAGATTATAATCATGTGGGCAATCAATGTTAAAATCTCAAAGAAACACAAAGATATAAAGGGCAGTGTTCATCCCAAGGGACACGGTGACTCTTCTGGGGCATAGTTTTCTCGCTTGCCTACATTCTAAATCTGTAATTCCTTAAATAAGCCACGGAAAATGGTATATATTCCTTAAAATACTGAAATGATTAATACGGTAGGCCAAATAACAAAAACAGAAACTATGATAAAACTTTGCTTGTTCTCTAGACAGAAACTAATTCAGTCAATGTTGAAAACAAAGAAAATAATTCAGATTAAGTATAAATTTTAATTACCTAAAAATAGCTTTTCTAGTTGACTTTTACCGGAAATGCAGTGTTTGTTACCTCAGCATTTACCCTAAATGGACTTCTCTCTCAGCAGCACAAGCCCTCTGCTAGAACAGTGCTCTCACAGAAAACCAGAGAGACATTTTATTGGGGAAATTATGAGGCATTTTTCCATATACTTCTTCGTCTCCATTTGCCTGAGCTGGTTTTGTTTTGAGAGTGCTCCAGTGTTCAGCAAATCCTTTCAATGTTTTGCTATTTTCCCACTTCGAGACATGAGGCATCTTGCAGAGGAGCAGCATCTGAATTCCTAGGTTGGGGAGTTCCTCTCCTTCCTCCTCCCTTCGCTTTCATTTCTAACCATATTCTAAGCCTCATTCCTAGGAAAGCTTACCATAGGAAGTCTGCTCTGTACCACACCCAAGACAACCACAGCGGGAGGACATTCAGGTTACCCCATCTAAAAACATCTGTTCTCCAACCAAGGAGCAAGGGTTTATGACCACCTGAGGGTCATATCAAATGGAAGAAAGGATTCAACAGTCTTCATAGAGGGTTTTGCAGAGACCACACTGCTGAACGCAAGTTTTTATTTCCCTGGTTCTTTGGTACCCAGACACACAATGACAAGCATTTGGCACAAGCACCAGTCGCCAGGGTGACCATCTCTGCAAGCTCAGTCCCTCCAGTCCTCTGTTTCATAGCTCTGGTAGCTCAGATTTATGTCCCTGTATTAGTCCATTTTCACACTGCTATTAAAGACATACCCAAGAGTGGGTAATTTATGAAGAAAAGAGGTTTAATTGACTCAGTTCTGCATGGCTGGGGAGGCCTCAGAAAACTTACAATCATGATGGAAGGGGAAGGAGAAGCAAGTAACTTCTATCACAAAGCAGCAGGAAAAAGAGAGAGAGCGAAGGGGGAAGAGCCCCTTATAAAACCATCAGATCTCGTGAGAATTCACTGACTGCCATGAGAACAACATGGGGGAAACCACCCCCATGATCCAATCACCTCTCACCAGGTCCCTCTGGGGACCACATCTGGGGATTACTATTCAAGATGAGATTTGGGTAGGAACACAAAGCCAAGCCATTATCAGTCCCCTTAGGTTCTAAGCCCATTGTCTATATCCTAAAAGACAGGAGCCTGTAGATCCATAGGTGATACTTCTAGAATTGAAAAAGCAAACAAATTTCCTTTTTCTCTTTCACATTTATCATTAGGTTAAAAAGAAAATAATTGCTTAAAATCTTAGCACTCTAGCTCAGAAAAGCCTTAATATCTAGCATGGACAACCCATAGGCCCGGTGGCTCTTGTACTTTTACAACCCCATTCCAAAACCCCACAGACCAAAACCTGAAGGCTAGTAAGGAGGAACATGAGTCAACAAATGACCTCATTCTCCATTTGTTTACAAACTCCACTGATGTCTGTGGTTTCCAACTGATCATTATTTTAAAAATGGGTGAAATAGTGTGAGATCTCAGAGCACTTTTCTTTTCTCTCTTTTCTTTTTTCCTTTTTTTTTTTTTTTTGAGACAGTCTTACTCTGTCTCCCAGGCTGGAGTGCAGTGGCGAGATCACAGCTCACTGCAACTTCTCCCTCCTGGGTTCAAGCAATTCTCTTGCCTCAGCCTTCCGAGTAGCTGGGATTACAGGCACACATCACCATGCCTGGCTAATTTTTTTGTATTTTTAGTAGAGACGGTGTTTTACCATGTTGGCCAGGCTGGTCTCACACTCCTGAACTCAGGTGATCTGCCCACCTCGGCCTTCCAAAGTGCTGGGATTACAGGCGTGAGCCTCAGAGCACTTTTCTAAAGCCAAAAAGTAAACTCTGGAGTTGCAAGCCACCATAGAGCTTCAAGGTGTGTCTCTGAGCACACACACTTGCCTAAGCTATCCCCATGGTACTGCTAGGGGTCAGGATGGGCCCAGCCTCCACTAAATGATGCTGCTCACAGCAGGACTGCTGACTCCTGGGTGATCTTCAGCAGGAACTCAAATCAAAGGCTCCAATCCAAGGATCTTAAGGTGAAACCCTTAAAGCCCTCCAATGCATGCCCAAACAGAACCTTAAGACAAACACAAAGAAAAGAGAAGGCAGCTTTGAGAAATGAAAGAATGAAAAAGTACCTGAGGCTGTGAACTTGCTGTCATTCATCAGGAATAAATTAGAGGTAGACACTCGGGCCTGGGAGAGAGAGAGGACTCAGCTTCATTGCAGACACTGTCTTCAGAGGACCAGTTCCTTTAAATTAAGGAGTTAATTTACCAAGTTAAATTTTTTAAAACCTACTTACATCCTAGAGAAAGGAAATTGAAGCTGAATAATTGAATCCACCTGGTCATTAAAACCCATCACACTTTTCTTAATTGACTGCATTTTCATGGTCTATCTAAATATTTAGGAGTGCTATAAACCCACAGCTTCACAACACGGTAGTAAAGCAGCCTTTTCATAAGACTCCATGAAATATCCTATTTAGGGGCTGAAATTCTTCTGGCAAAACACCTGAAAACAGTTTCAAAGAGTGATGTACCATCCCTAAACCACAGAGACATGGCCTGTGATAGTTAGGCTTACCCTAACAAGGGGTTCGGGAAAACAGCTGTTTCGAGAATCATGAAAGGAACTGGGGCAAATTAGAGAAGAAGAAAAAAATGCATGAGGAAAGGATTAGAAAGGAAATTATTATTTTTTAAAAGTCCAGTGTCCATCTCCTAGGATCCCAGGTTAGTATGACCCAAAGTGAGCCTCTTTTGCTGACCCTGTCCTTTTTCTCAATGCATGGGGACCAGACCTTTAGAGGCAGCAGGACCTCAGGAGGTGGCTGTGTCTGTTCAGCCAAGCGGTGACTCACTGAGTAAGTAAGCGGAGGAAGGGTTTAATTGCCATGGATCTCTGACCTAAGCCAGATGACTTCGGGCGGAACTGGGTAGGTGGACTAGTCCCAACTGCCCTCATCTTACTCCATGCAGATGAACTGCCCTTTGGGTGCCCCAGTGAGAAAATGTAAACCTCCAAACCAATGGGGTTACCTGCATTTTTCATAAATGATATTGGACAAGGTCCACCATATATTATAATACACCTCACAGTCTTCCTGGAGAAACTTAAAACTACACAATCAGGGTCACTTTTAATAAGGTTCTCCAATACAGATTCTCACTAGAGTACTAATTGACTTACAATTCCACCTTTTCTTGCAGGAGAACAACAGCCCTTAGATGCCAGTCTGAAACCCAATTTCAGTTGTCTAGTAGGTGTTTTTTTCTAATCTGCAATTATTAAAGAATTTGAACGGGATTAAATCCACTCCAAATACTGATTTTACCTGTCTGTCTATAATTTGTGTAGTCATGTGAGAGTGACTATAAATTAGATTGAAAGCTTTCATTCCATTCTCAACCTGAAAAGCACCACCTTCTTGTGTGCCTTCAAAGTTATATTTGTTTGTTTTATTGTTTTTAGAGAAGTTCTCACTTCATGCATTTAATTATCAATGCCAGGGGATGCCGATGTCATCTGGAATAAGAGTCATTCTCTGGCTCTCAGAATACTTTCAGAGTGACAGATTCTACAAGTCTGTGACACCACTAGTGTATACCTGATGAAAACTTACCAGCTTCAGCACGCCAAAGCTGTGATTTCCTGTACGAAACATATTGAAACAGAGCCCTCTGTCATCGCCTGCTATTGCTAGGACAGATCTTGAACCCGTGTATCTCCATGGGGACTCTCATTGCACTGAGCTCTATAAGAAAATTCAAAAAATTCACCACCTCATTTTCAAGGTGTGAATATGTCCCGTCATTATCCATTAGGTATTGTGCACTAGCAGGGCACCTTGTGCCGACTGTGACAGAGAGCATTTTCATCACAATTCTGGACATAACTAGAGCTACCACCACCCCACCCCCTCAAGGGAAAGAAAAGACCACGGGTGTCAACATGTGCTGAAAAAGTTATTAGAATTCTGCCTTCCATCTATCACTTGCCTACAGGTAGGAAACAACCTCTGTAGTGCTACAAATGAGCTTTGGAGAAAAGAAAATTTTACTTTTATAAACAAAAAAGACCAAAGCTTAAGCATCTTTCTTCTACAAGCTTGTAGGCCCATGAGATTAGCAGAACCATACCTATTAGAATAAAATGAGTAACTCATCTATCTAAAAAAAAAAAAAAGTTAAAAATTAAAAGTGCCTCTAATCCCAGCACTTTGGGAGGCCAAGATGGAAGGATCACGAGGTTAGCAAATCGAGACCATCCTAGCTAACACAGTGAAACCCCTCTCTACTAAAAATACAAAAAAAAAAAACTAGCCGGGCGTGGTGGCAGGTGCCTGTAGTCCCAGCTACTCAGGAGGCTGAGGCAGGAGAATGGCGTGAACCAGAGAGGCGGAGCTTGCAGTGAGTTGAGACTGCGCCACTGCACTCCAGCCTGGGCGACAGACTGAGACTCCATCTCAAAAAAAAAAAAAAAAAATTAGCCAGGCATTGGCATTGTGCATGTCTATAGCCCCAGCTATGTGGGAGGCTGAGCTGGGAGGATTGCTTGAGCCAGCGTGGTTGAGGCTGCAGTGAGCCATGACGGTGCCACTGCACTCCAGCCTGAGTGACAGAGGGACAAGACCCTGTCTCAAAAAGAAAGAAAGAAGTAAAATGTGACTAATATTAACCAATATAATTAAGACACTTAATATTACAATTATTTCTCCTACTTTTCAGCTTAGCCAACATAATTTTGACTAATAACAATCAAATAAAAAACGTAGGGAGGATTCAGCAAGGACAAATGACCATCTGACACTCACATGCATTGAACGCAGCTGACTTTCTTTCTATCTCATTCTGTAATATTTTCTGATCTCAGTTCTCAATCAGCTAGTTAAAAGCATTTTATCAATCTGTAAGCATTTTACCCTTTGAAAACATTTAACCTAATAAAATTCATGGAGATATATATATATACACACACACACACAAACACACATACATATACATATAAACTGATAGGTATTCAAAATGTAATCAACATTGACACATCAATGTCAAAAATTAAACAGTCGATAGTCAACATATACTATTATTAGCTTGGTGCAAAAGTAATTTTAGTTTTTGCCATTTAAAAGTAATGGTAAAGCTGCAATTACTTTTGTACCAACCTATACGAAAAAAGAATTGTATTATTTTTACCTATACTTCCATATACATAAGGGGTAAATCCACTAGAACGCTACTGGTCACATTCGTCAAGGACACTACAAGATAAACTGGAAGAGAAAATGACAGATATTATTTGTATTTATATAATATGTATGTTAGTGTGTACCTTTCTCATCTTCTAAAGAAATTAAATTGTTATTCTCATTTTAAAAATTATCTTCTTTAAAGTATTTGTTGCCATTTTCTCCATGGCTCACTTACAAGCTAACTGAAGTGGGGGAAGTGAAAAATCAGCCATACACAAAATAAGAGAGAAGGAGAAATAGCCATCAATATGGAAGACATTTAAAGCATATAAAACTCATTTATGCAACCCTACACAAACAAAAACATTTGAAAACATGGATAAAATGTATAATTTTCCAAAAATTAAAATTTACTCTAGAAGTGATAAAATATCAGAGTTCCAATACACATAAAAGAAATAGAGGAATTGCTCAAAGAGCTAGCCCTCCCCCCTTAGAAAAAGCACCAGATCCATATGGTTTCTTGGTGGGGTGAATATTTTCTTGTTCTATTTGTTTGGCTGCTATAACAGAATACCACAGACTGAGTGGCTTATAAACAGCAAAAATTTATTTCCCACAGTTCCGGGGGCTGGGAAGCCCACGATCAAAGCAACGACAGATTTGGTGTCTGGTGAGGGCCCACTTCCCGGCTCCTAGACAACCATCTTTTCTCTGTGTCTTTACAGATAGTTATGGGAGGAAAAGCACACTCTCTGGAGTTTCCAAGGGCAAGAATTCCATTCATAAGGGCTTTGCTCTCATAACCTAATTACTTACCAAATGCCCCACCTCCTAATACCATCACATTGGGAGTTAGTAATTCAACATAATAATTTTGCAAGGGCATACACATTCAGTCCACAGCATTTACCCAATTTTTAATGCAGCTGATTCTAATGCTACTTAATCTGTTTCACAGTATGGAAGGGAAGAAAGGCTTGTATAACACAGTTATTAAAACTCAATAAAGATGACACAACAATGGAATTTTTAGACCAGTCTTACTGTGAACATTATGTCTTCAGTGAGTGAAGGTAGTTATTTTAGAGACAGCAGACTTTAGAAGAATTTGATCCAGTTGGAAGGCAGGCCCTGAAAGAATGCCACCCCAAAATTACAAAACTTCAGGTCCATTAATTACTCATGGCTTGAATTTTATGAGTGGGAGCACAATAGCAGGAATCCCAAGAACTGTTTTACAAAATACGGATTGCAGATGACTGGCTTAGAAATCACCTGAAATGCATGTTACAAATGCAGATTCAGGAAACTCACCTGGACTTGCTGAATCAGAATCACTCAGTGTTGAGGCCAAGAAATTTGACGTTTAATAGGTACCTCAACTGCTTCTTCTGACCAGTGAAATTTAAAAACAATTATAGTGCCTAATAGTGGTTCTTTCCATGATTCCTACCATGTACAATAACATTACTTGCAATGTTAACTTTCTCAAGTGAGGTATTTGAATTATCAATTAACCAAGACAATGTTATTTTTATTTGGCCAGAATGTGTTGGTCTATGTATCGTTATGATTCTATCCCAGTATATTTTATGATGTTTATTGTTTAATGAAAGGTTTATAAGAACTTAAAATACTATTTTAATAGGCTTATTTCCTTTAGAAACCACCTGCAGTAGCCTCTTTCAGGTTGTGCCATTTTCATTATAATGTAATACCAACTGACCATTCATTCATTCAATAACAACAAATGTTTACATAGTGCCTGTTATGTAATTCACCCTGTACTAGTTACCGTTTAAAATAATGTATTGTTTCTTCATTCATCAGTCTATTTTTCTTTATACAATTGTAAGAATTTTAATAACAATCCCACCCTCTTAAATTATAACAAAATAATCCTTTAGTTGGTTTTAATATCTTGCCTCACATCAGTTTTAGCTACACTAGTTATAGCTAATTTGCTAGACAGATGCAGGCAACAACCTCAAGTTCATTTTGTTTACATAAAGATTTTCTGGATTTGCTGTTGGGTAGATTACACTCAATCGAGTTGTAATTGTATAAAAAAGGCATTTTACAGGCCAGTTTTTATAGGCAAAAATCATACTTGCTATGGAAGTAATTCCTTCTTTTTGCTCATGCCATTTATTTCTCTTACCATTTTTCATAAGAAAATATAGTTCTTATTGTGGAGACTTTCATTCATTCACTCAGTCATTCAAAGTTACCAAATACTAGTTACTTTTGAGTGGTAGGAAAGAGTAGAGAATAAAATTAAGTTTCTGCCTTTACCTCAAGTAACTTACACTGTTTTTAATTGTTTCATTCATATATTAGTAATTTGGGTTATTGATATAATGAGTAAAAGTAGTAAATCTGTTAATATTGTTTAGAATATTAATATTTATTGCTAAGGCAGTTGGTGATGACTATCTAACCTTTATCATGGTAACAGTAAATTGAGAATAATAAAGAGAAGGCTTTTTCTCATTCCTTTCACTTTGGGTAAGAAATATAATTTCTGGATTTGATCTTACTGTGAATTATGGGTGATCTTTAGAGGGTGTCTTTCATTATTTTATCACTCACCAACTTCTGAAATCCCCACCCCACCATTCCATGCAGGATCAATATATCACAGCTGTCACCGAATCCAGCTGTTGGTTTATTTAGAACACTATGCAAATGTTAATGACATCTTTAAGAGAGTGTTTTAAAAAACAAACGCCTGCTCCAAATTTCCCTGTAGCTCTTAAAAACATTACCATTTTCAAATTCAAAGCTTTGTACAGTAAAACCTAATTTTAAAAAAACAATAAGATGTTTACCAAAGTTAGAGAAAAATAACACAGGTACAAACTAGACTGTCTTCCAATTATATTATGCTGATTCTGATCATGGAATAACTGATCAGAACCTTGTCAATTTTAATTCTACTCTTCAGGCTCCTGATTAAGCATCCTTCCACAGTAACTTCATCTGACATCCCCCTGCATAGTAAAACTTTGCCCTTTGGCTATATTTAACACATTACTTAATGTTTTATATTGCTTTCCCAGACTTAAGAATTAACAAAAGTATATTACCAAAAAGCACTATATATAGTACTATATAGAGAGTAATACAAAGTACTGTATGTAATCTACTAGATATATGAAATCTTTTCATATAGCTACATATATTAATAATCACGATGATATACATCAAAACATCAATAGTGTTCACATCTGAATTGTGTGGTTCAAGGTATGTGTGTGTCTTCTAATGCCTTATAAAATGAATATATTTCTCCTTTTGAAAGTAGTATGAAGTATTTTTATTGATGACTGACTAATATAACATTATATCCCACTTGTGGACAGGATGCATAATATATGCATTTATACCTTTGCAACATTTTGCAATGATAGAAACATAGAGGACATAGATGCTCTCAGTAAGAAGTCTGAGTTGTCTAGAATGGAATGGAGCAGAAACAAATCATTTTATCATTATCTATGTCCAAACTGGCCAAACAGTATCCTCATCAGCACCTCACTATGAAATCTGCCATTTTAAGACATTAAACTGGTGGTTTTCGCCTGGGAGAAGCACTGCCCGCTCCTGCAGGGGTAGTTTTGAAATGTTTTAGATCATGTTTTTGTATCGTCTAATAACAAGGTAAGGCAAAATGGTATTTAGTGAGTGCTGGCCAGGAATGCTAAATATCCTATCGCTTTTGGCACATATCTACAGAAATAATTGTCTCTCTCAAAATGCCAGTAGTCTACTTTTGAGAAAGCTGGTTGGATTCGCCACTTATTTACTCCCTACTCGTAAAAAAAAAAAAAAAAAAAAAATCACATAAATAAAAAATCAAGACTTTAGGATTTCATATCACACCATGTGCCCCAAAGAGTGTGTGGCAAATTAAAGATGGCCTCACGTTTTTCACACTCTTCTCATCAAGGGAAGTATTCCCTCTGGCAGCTTTGACCAGACATGGCCCATTCCTGGGCCTAATCTTTAAGTGAATGGATTACTTCTGTCCTGATCTCTTAAAGTCCAGCCAGCAGGGAAAAGGAAGACTACTTTAGCCCAAATCACATTGAGAGGCCTTGGAAAATGAGACACCATGTGGACAAAAATGACCAAGGAATACGGAGGTGCCAAATATGTGAGTGAAGAAGCCATCACGGAAGTGGAGCCTCCAATTGATCTGCAACTCCAAATGAAGCCACGCAGAATAGAGATCACAGTGACTCCTTCCTAAATTCCTGACCTATCCAACATTGTGGGCAAAATAAAATGGCTGTTTTAAGCCCCTAAACTGTGTCTTTTTATCTTGAGTCCAGCTCCTTTGCTTCCCAGAAATTCAAAATGGAGAACTTGTTAGATTTTAATGTGTTTCTAGAGAACATGTGAAACAGTATTTTCCTTGCAACAAACCAACCTTAAATCTCCAAGAGGATACTGGCAACTATGTCAAGTATTGTTTTCGCTGTTAAAAGTGATCCTGTTTTTGATGCAGTAAACATCTATAATTACCTACCGAACTCTAGCTAAACTAAAATGGACATTAATATGTTTTGGATGTTTCTCCCCTTCCAGTCTCATGTTGAAATGTGACTTCCAGTGATGGAGAGGGAGCCTGGTGGGAGGTGACTGAGTCATGGGAGAAGATCCCTCATGAATGGCTTGGTGCCATCCCCTTGGCGATGAGTGAGTTTTGCTTAGTTAGTTCACATGAAATCTAGTTGTTTAAAAGTGTCTGAGGGGCTGGGTGCGGTGGCTGAGGCAGGAGAATTGCTTGAACCTGGGAGGCGGAGGTTGCAGTGAGCAGAAGTCGCGCCACTGCACTCCAGCCTGGGAGACAGAGCGAGACTTCAACTCAAAAAAAAAATTAAAAATTGAATTAAATTAAAAATTAAACAAATAAAAGTGTCTGGGACCTCCCCCTTCTTTCTCTTATGCTCTCGCTCTCATTATGTGACACGCCTGCTCCCCCATCCCCTTCTACCATGATTGTAAGCTTCCTGAGCCCGTCACCAGAAGCAGATGCTGGCACCATGCTTCCTGTACTATCAGCCGAATCATGAGCCAAAATATAACTTTTTTCTTTATAAATTACTCAGTATCAGGTATTTATAGAAAAAAAACACAGAGTAATACAGATGTCAAATAACCATCACACTGATTGTCTCTCCATTATGCTATTAATTTAATTTAATTATATGACATAAAATTATAGTATACATGTCTCTGCGACTGAACTGAAAACTCCTTAAGGACAAGAATGGTGTCTGCTGCATTTTTTGTGTTCTGCTATAAAACACAGTGCTATGCATATGGTATGTGTTCCACAAACATTTGTGAATGTTTACAGTGTAGTCTATCATTCGAAATTTGTTCTTTCAGTTAAACTCAGCATCACTTCCTTCCAGCCTTATGTTTTAAAGCCCTCATGCTGGCAAGGCGTGGTGGCTCATGTCTGTAATCCCAGCACTTTGGGAGGCCAAGGCGGGTGGATCACCTGAGGTCGGGAGTTCGAGACCAGCGTGACCAACATGGAGAAATCCTGTATCTACTAAAAATACAAAATTATCCAGGCATGGTGGCGCATGCCTGTAATCCCAGCTACTCGGAAGGCTGAGGCAGGAGAATCACTTGAACCCAGGAGGCGGAGGTTGCAGTGAGCCGTTATCGCGCCATTGCACTCCAGCCTGGGCAACAAAAGTGAAATGCCATCTCACAAAAAAAGCAAAAATTAAATAAATAAAATAAAGCCCTCATGCTCTTGACATAATCTCATGTTTTCCATAGAATCCTAATCCATGAAAGACTGACAGTATGTCATCTAGCCAAATGTCATTATTTTACAGATAAAGACATAAATGACTTGCTCAAATTAATGAAGTTATTTAGTGCATAGTAAAGCCATTGGCAACTTAAAATTATTCCCTTTAACTGATAACTAGCAGGTGGGCCTAGTCAGCCAAAAAGTGTTGGAATTCCTGTGCATGGAAGGCCTAACATGTAAGAAGCAGGCAAAAAAAAAAAAAAAAAAAAAAAAAATATATATATATATATATATATATATATATATATCGCTGCAGAGATTGAAGAGAAACTTCACTTATGTCCTAATCTGTCTTGAGCAGGAGCTAATGTGGACCACTATCACTCACAAAATTTGAAGAAAAAAGATGCCAGAAGACATCAATGTGAAGGGGCTAGATGACTATGAGGCAATAAAGATTTCTTTTTCTAATTAGTTCTACAGAGTAAATCATAAAATCAGATATCTCTACTCTGAAACTCTTTATTAACAGCTGTTTATTGTACTGTTACAATAATGTATGCAAGATGCTAGTTTGATAGTTGTGCTTCCACTTCTTAAATAAACTCAACTGTCAAAAATCAGGAGCAAATCAGGACTGGAAAGGCTGTCACTAGATGTAGGAGAGCAAACCTATCTTACATTTCTGTCCTATATATGTACATTTTCAGTAAAAACAGATCAGGAATGTTTAAAATACTAACCAGTGAAAGTGCAGGGATAGACGGTGTATATGCTTTCTTGAAAATCACAGGAAAACTCAAACTAGGTTTTTAACCACAAATTATACTCAGAAATATCTGTGACATCGTTACCACAGGACAAGGTAAGAGCACACTTCTCTCCATGCAGAAGCCAAAATGGACTTGTAGAGTTGTTCCTAAAAACACTGAATGATAGGGCTTTAGCACAATAAAGGATAGTCTCATTTTATTAATCTGCACCACTACACATAACAAAAAAGCAAAAGGAATTGTTTGGCTCTATATGGAACCTTGGGTAAGGGAGCCTCTTCATGACTTATTTTATTTTATTTATTTTATTTTATTTTATTTGACACATGTGTAGGATATGCAGGTTTGTTACACAGGTAAACGTGTGCCATGGTGGTTTGCTGCACTTATCAACCCATCACCCAGGTATTAAGCCTAGCATCTTCATGACTTTAACTAAGGTATAGGACCCAGCCTTTGGAGATGCTGCTATGGAGAATAAATCCCAATGTCGCTGCTCATAGATTTCTGGTAGGAATCATCATTTATTGAGCATCTACTATGTTCCAGGCACTGCAGAACACGTGCATTCTCCTTAATCCTTATCACAATCCCACAAGCAGGTATTGCTTCTACTTTTAAACATAAAGAGGGAAGCGAGGACAAGATGACCAACTAGAAACAGTGGCGATCAGAGGCTCCCATTGAAAAGAAACATAATTAGTGTGGGAATCCTTCCCTGTCACTGGCAACGAAGGTATGCAGGTTCTCTCATCAGAACTGACTAGGTGGCTGACGTGATCCACAGAGAGGAAGGAAGAGCAGTGTGGTGCGGTGGCCCACTTCAGAGCCACACAAGGCAGGGGAGCCCCCACCCCACAGCCAAGGGAGGCAGTGAGTGAGCATGCTACCATGCTTTCTCCGTGGAACCGTGCAACCCATGGATCGGAAGATCCCACTTGCAAACCCACACCACCAGGGCCTAGGGTCCCAACCCTGGAGCTGCGCAGATTCTCAACAGCCTCTCAGCTGGAATATGCCTAAGCCTGCCAAGCTCCCGGGGGAGGGGCAACCGGCACCACAGCTATGGCTGCCTGAGCTCCTTGGGGGACGGACAGCAGCCAGCACTAGGACTCATAACTGCCTAACGCACTAAGCTCCCTGGGCAGAGGAAGGGCAGCATCCATCTCCATAGGTCCAGGCCGCAATTTTTCCCTGCTGGAGCCAGGGAGGCTGGATGGCTTGGTCCCCAAGAGGTGTCCCCCATAGCCCAACACACCGACTATGGCAGACTATGGCCACAGCATCTGCTCAGGCCTGACTCTGACACATCCTTCCTCACTGGGCGGGGATTCCCTGCAGGAACTCCAATAACTCCAGCTAGAGGCTCAGGGACAGAACCCAGATCTCCCTGGGCCTGAGCCCTTAGCGGGAGGAGTGGCCACAGTCTCTGTGGACCAGCAGACTTAGCCTTTCCTCCTGGTAGTTCTGAGGAATCCGGGCAGCCCAGAAGAGTGGGTTTCCCCCCAGTGAAGCACACCCCTTCCACCAAGGGACAAAGTGCTTCATTAAAATGGGTCCTGTTCCCCATGCCACCCAACTGGGTGAGACACTCTAACAGGGGTTGTCAGACACCCTATACACAAGCAATCCTTCTGGCATCATGTTTGTGCCCCTCGAGGTCAGAGATGCCAGAAGAAGGAGCAGGCACCCATCCTGCTCTCCAGCCTCCTTGAGTGATATCTCCAGGCATGGGAGCGAACTGGAAGAATAGGGCCCTGAAGTAAACTCCCAGCAAACCGCAGCAGCCCTACAGAAGGGGGACCTGATCATTGAAAGACAAACACACAAAGAGAAAACAACAACAGCATCAACAAAAATAAGTCCCCACAAAAACCCCATCCAAGGATCAGCAGCCTCAAAGATCGAAACTAGACAAACTCACAAAGATGAGAAAGAATCAACAACAACAAAAAAAAACACTGAAAACCCCAAAGGCCCGAGTGCCTCTTCTCCTCCAAATGATCACAACGCCTCTCCAGCAAGGGCACAGAACAGGATGAGGATGAAATGGATGACTTGACAGAAGTAGGTTTCAAAAGATGGGTAATAAAAAATTCTGCTGAGCTAAAGGAACATGTTCTAACCCAATGCAAAGAAGCTAAGAACCTTGATAAAAGGTTAGAGGAGCTGCTAACTAGAATAACCAGTTTAGGGAGGAACATAAATGACCTGATGGAGCTGAAAAACACAGCACAAGAACTTCATGAAGCGTACACAAGTATTAATAGTCGAATCGACCAAGCAGAAGAAAATATATCAGACTTTGAAGGCCACCTTGCTGAAATAAAGCACAGAGACAAGATTAGAGAAAAAAGAATGAAAGGGAACAAATAAAGCCTCCAAGAAATATGGGACTTTGTAAAAAGACCAAACCTATGATTGATTGGAGTACCTGAAGGAGATGAGGGGAATGGAACCAAGTTGGAAAACACACTTCAGGATATTATCCAGCAGAACTTCCCCAAGCTATCAAGACAGACCAACATGCAAATTCAGGAAATACAGAGAACACCATAAAGATACTCCTCTAGAAGAGCAACCCTAAGACACTTGATCATCAGGTTCTCCAAGGTCAAAATGAAGGAAAAAATGTTAAGGGCAGCCAGAGAGAAAGGCCAGGTGACCTACAAAGGGAAGCCCATTAGACTAACAGCAGGCATCTCAGCAGAAACTCTACAAGCCAGAAGAGATTGGGGGCCAATATGGAACATTCTTAAAGAAAAGAATTTTCAACCCAGAATTTCATATCCAGCCAAACTAAGCTTCATAAGTGAAGGAGAAATAAAATCCTTTCCAGACAAGCAAATGCTGAGGGATTTTGTTACCACCAGTCCTGCCTTGCTCCTGAAGGAAGCACTAAATATGGAAAGGAAAAACTGGTACTAGCCACTGCAAAAACACACCAAAATTTCAAGACCAATAACACTATGAAGAAACTGCAACAAAAAGTGTGCAAAATAACCAGCCAGCATCATGATGACAGGATCAAATTCACACATAACAATATTAACCTTAAATGTAAATGGGCTAAATGCCCCAATTAAAAGACACAGACTGGCCAATTGTATAGAGTCAAGATCCATCGGTGTGCTGTATTCAGGAGACCCATCTCACGTGCAAAGACACACATAGGCTCAAAATAAAGGGATGGAGGAAAATTTACCAAGAAAATGGAAAGCAAAAAAAAAGCAGGGGTTGCAATTCTAGTCTCTGACAAAACAGACTTTAAACCAACAAAGATCAAAAAGGACAAAGAGGGGCATTACATAATGGTAAAGGGAACAATTCAACAAGAAGAGCTAATTACTCTAAATATATATGACCCAATACAGGAGCACCCAGATTCATAAAGCAAGTTCTTAGAGACCTACAAAGAGACTTAGACTCCCACACAATAATAGCAGCAGACTTTAACACCCCACTGTCAATACTGATAGATCAACAAGACAGAAAATTAACAAGGATATTCAGGACTTGAACTCAGCTCTGAATAAAGTGGACCTAATAGACATCTACAGAATTCTCCACACCAAACCAACAGAATATACATTCTTCTCAGCGACACATGGCACTTATTCTAAAATCGACCACATAATTGGAAGTAAAACATTTCTCAGCAAATGCAAAAGAACTGAAATCATAACAGTCTCTCAGACCACAGTGCAATCAAATTAGAACTCAGGATTAAGAAACTCACTCAAAACCACACAATTACATGGACATTGAACAACCTGCTCCTGAATGACTCCTGGGCAAATAATAAAATTCAGGCAGAAATCACAAAGTTCTTTGAAACCAATGAGAACAAAGAGACAACGCAGCAGAATCTCTGGGACACAGCTAACACAGTGTTAAGAGGGAAATTTATAGCACTAAATGGTGACATCAGAATGCTAGAAAGATCTCAAATCGACACCCTAACATCGCAATTAAAAGAGCTAGAGAGGCAAGAGCAAACTAATCCAAAAGCTAAAGGAAGAAAAGAAATAACTAAGATCAGAGCATAATTGAAGGAGACAGACACACGAAAAACCCTCCAAAAAATCAATGAGTCCAGGAGATGGTTTTTTGAAAAAATTAGCAAAATAGACCACTAGCCAGACTAATAAAGAAGAAATGAGAAGAATCAGATAGACACAATAAAAAAATGATAAAGGGGATATCACCACTGACCCCACAGAAATACAAAGTACCATCACAGAATTCTATAAACACCTCTATGCAAATAAACTAGAAAATCTAGAAGAAATGGATAAATTCCTGGACACATACACCCTCCCAAGGCTAAACCAGGAAGAAGTCAAATCCCTGAATAGACTAATAACAAGTTCTGAAAATGAGACAGTAATCAATAGCCTACCAACCAAAAAAAGCCCAGGACCAGAAGGATTCACAGCCGAATTCTACCAGAGATACAAAGAGGAGTTGGTACCATTCCTTCTGAAACTATTCCAAACAATTGAAAAGGAAGGACTCCTCCCTAACTCATTTCGTGAAGCCAGCACCATCCTGATACCAAAACCAAGCAGAGACACAACAAGAAAATAAAACATCAGGTCAATATCCCTGATGAACATTGATGTGAAAATCCTCAATAAAATACTGGCAAACTGAATCTAGCAGCACACCAAAAAATTTATCCACCACAGTCAAGTCAGCTTTATTCATGGGATGCAAGGCTGATTCAACATACGCAAATCAATAAACATAATACATCACATAAACAGAACCAAAGACAAAAACCACGATTGTCTCAATAGATGCGGAAAAGGCCTTTGATAATATTCAACATTCTTTCATGTTAAAAACTCTCAATAAACTAAGTATTGATGGAACATATCTCAAGATATTAAGAGCTATTTATGGCAAAACCACAGCCCAATATCATATTGAGTGGCCAAAAGCTGGAAGCATTTCCTTTGAAAACCGGTACAAGACAAGGATGCCCTCTCTCACCACTTCTATTAACACAGTATTGGAAGTTCTGGCCAGGGCAATCAGGCAAGTGACAGAAATAAAGGGTATTCACATAGGAGAGAGAAAGTCAAATTGTCTCTGTTTGCAGATGACATGATTATATATTTAGAAAACCCCATCATCTCAGTCAAAAACTCCTTAAGCTGATAAGCAACTTCTGCAAAGTCTCAGGATACAAAATCAATGTACAAAAATCACAAGCATTCCTTTACACCAACAATAGACAAGCAGAGAGCCAAATCATGAATGAACTCCTATTCACAATCATTACAAAGAGAATAAAATACTTAGGAATACAGCTTACAAGGGATGTGACGGATCCCTTCAAGGAGAACTACAAACCACTGCTCAAGAAAATAAGAGAGGACACAAACAAATGGAAAAACATTCCATCCTCATGGATAGGAAGAATCAATATCATGAAAATGGCCATACTGCCCAAAGTAATTTATAGATTCAATGCTATTCCCATCAAACCACCATTGGCATTCTTCACAGAATTAGAAAAAACTACTTTAAATTTCATATGGAATCAAGGAAGACCCTGTATAGCCAAGACAAAAGCAAAAGAAATGAAGCTGGAGGCATCAAGCTACCTGACATCAAACTATACTACAATGCTACAGAAACCAAAACAGCATGGTACTGGTACCAAAACAGGCATATGGACCAATGGAACAGAACAGGGACCTCAGAAATAACACCACACATCTACAATCATCTGATCTTCAACAAATCTGACAAAAACAAGCAACGGTGAAAGGATCTCCTATTCAATAGATGGTGCTGTGAAAACTGGCTAGCCATATGCAGAAAACTGAAACTGGACTCCTTCCTTACACCTTATACAAAAATTAACTCAAGATGGATTAAAGACTTAAATGTAAAACACAAAACCATAAAAACCCTAGAAGAACACCTAGGCAATACCATTCAGGACATACGCATGGGCAAAGACTTCATGACAAAAATGCCAAAAGCAATTGCAACAGCCAGAATTGACAAATGGGATCTAATTAAACTAAAGAACTTCTGCACAGCATCATCAGAGTGAACAGGCCACCTAAAGAATGGGAGAAAATTTTTGCAATCTATCTACCTGACAAAGGTCTAATATCCAGAATTTACAAGGAACTTAAACAAATTTACAAGAAAAATCAAACAACCCCATCAAAAAGTGGGCAAAGGATATGAACAGACACTTCTCCAAAGAAGATATTTATGTGGCAACAAATACATGAGAAAAAGCTCAACATCACTGATCATGAGAGAAATGCAAATCAAAACCACAATGAGATGCCATCTCATGCCAGTCAGGATGGCAATTATTAAAAAGTCAAGAAACAACAGATGCTGGCAAGACTGTGGAGAAATAAGAATGCTTTTACATTGTTGGTGGGAATGTAAATTAGTTCAACCACTGTGGAAGACACTATGGTGATTCCTCAAGGAACAACAATCAGAAATACCATTTGACCCAGCAATCCCATTACTGGGTATATCCCCAAAGGAATACAAATCATTCTGCTATAAAGACACATGCACATGTATGTTTATTGCAGCACTATTTACAATAGCAAAGTCATGGAACCAACCCAAATGCCCATCAATGATAGACTGGATAAAGAAAATGTGGTACATATACACCATAGAATACTACACAGCCACAGAAAGGAATGAGATAATGTCCTTTGCAGGGACATGAATGAAGCTGGAAGCCATCATCCTTGGCAAACGAACACAGGAACAGAAAACCAAACACCGCATGTTCTCACTCATAAGTGGGGGTTGAACATTGAGAACACATGGACACAGAGGGGAACAACACACACCAGGGCCTGTTGCGGGATGGAGCGTGAGGGGAGGGAACTTAGAAGATGGGTCAATAGGTGCAGCAAACCACCACAGCACACGTATACCTATGTAACAAGCCTGCACGTTCTGCACACGGATCCTGGAACTTAAAGTAAAATTTAAAAAATTAATAAACAAACAGACATAAAGAAACTCATGCTTACAAAGATCACATGTCTCTCTCAAGGTCACTTAACTTATCAGTGGTGAAACCAAATCTAATGGTTTTATTGCAAATCAAGCATATGCAAATACATTCTCCTGTCAATTCTATAAAGTAGATGTTATTATTCTTGTTTTAATTATGAGGTAAACAAGACTCAAAATCAAATAACAAGGCTCAAGTGAAGAGAATTAGTAAGAGACAAATTGGGAATCATATCCAGAGCTGTCTACTACAACACACTTATTTTTTCCCACCATGGCATCTCGCGCTCAATTTATATCTTATTCACATTATTTTACCTTTTCACTGGATGTGACTAGCACACTCATAATAATTGAGGAGCCTCCCACCCAAAAAATCGACGGTTCTCAGCTCAGGACTGTTTTCAGTCCTTGTTATCCCCAGTGATGAAACAGAAGGAGCTCATAGGGAAAAAAAAGTACTGTGTATGTCATTATCGGACTATCTAGAATAGTATGCACTCATGCTATGTGAACAACCACCCCATCATCTTAGTATTTTAACAAAACAGATGCAAATTCTGACAGTGCAACCAGGCCATTCTCCATGCAGGTGCCCTTGCAGTGATCCAACGGCTTTGATCTGGAAGCTTTTCCATCTCGAAGTGAGGCCCTGACATCCTCCGCAGCAGGGAAAGAAACTGACCGAAGGATTCTTCAGGAGCTTTTTGTGGTGGCTTCCTGGAAATGCCACGTGTTCCTTCCTTTCACATCTCATTAGCCAGAATCCATCACATGCCCCACCTAATTCAGTGGCACTGAGAAGTTGACTCACTATGCATACAAGGGGGAGGAAAATAAATTAAAATTTGGCAAACACATGGCATGATCTCTGCCACATCATCCTTATGAAATAGATCCAGGATGTACAAGAAAATAGCAAAAGCTTAAGAATTAGCAAGTGAGGTCACGGATTACAAATGAAACAAAACTTCCTGGATGGAGAGACATAAAGAGATATATATGTATTGATTCAACTAAGAAAAGAGGAAAGAATCAGAAACTATATCAGAAAAAAAAAAGTTAGTGTGGTCATTAAGAAGGACTTATGCATAAACAAGCAAAGTGGCCTAAAAGGTTTTCTTCAAATGTCAAAAGTGACAGAAAAATGTAGGCCTATCTTGCTTTAGGACAAGGGTTTATGTGTCATTTCAGTCACTGACTTTATTATTTCAATTTCTCAAATTCTATTTAGCGTCTTCTTTCTTCATAGCACTGAGCAAGGTTCTATGGCAAGCCCGAAGAAATGCAACCAGAGGCAGTCCCCACCCTCTAAAATATTATACTCCAATGAATGAGAAAAGCAGTCATGCCTGAAATAAAAGGACAACATCTTTTGCAATTGAATCTCAAAGTAATCCATGAAAACACTAGGCTTAGAAAGAAGCACTGGGGTCTCCCCAAAGGAATATACTATTTTGCCAGTACGTTGTGCAGCACTGAGCACTTGGTATATTTCCCCCGGCTGCTTGCTCCCTTTAATTTCTGACTAGTGGTGCAGTCACTCAGTCTTTTACTGGTTTAGAAGCTTTCCATGAACTGCTACATAGCAGAATAATCCAGAATGAGAAAAGCAGATAACACAGAGGCTTGTCAGCCCCATTCATCATGTATGTCAGCTACAACAACATACAAAACCTTTAAGATGTGCTGCTTTCAGCTCACCTGCCCTTGCAACTAAGTGATGCCTGCCAAGACCACCAGAGCCCCGTGTCTGGGAAACCATCTCTTCCTCACTTTGTCCTAACGAATGCTCTTGGATGTGAAACACAAAGGCAGCGTAAGACAGGAATGTACTGATTAATTTCAACACGCCTTTTAGAAGTCACAGTCTATCCTGAGCAAAGTGATTTTCAACTGACTTTATCTTATTAGTGAGGACTCTGGGGAAATTTTATGGGGTAAATCCTTTTTCTATATTACCATGCTGAGGAAACGGTTTCCATCTTTAAAGCCCTGCAAGAATATACTGGGTTTTTTTGGTTTTGTTTCGGTTTGGTTTATTTTTTTTCCCCAGACACTAAACCTGGCCTCAGAGAAAGTTCTACTCGGAGAGATCTCATTAATTCCAGTGCTTTGATTTGTCCACAATTTTGTGGTTCATTTATTTCTGCCAGTTTCCTCCCAACTGTGAGAAAGAAAGAAAGAAAAAAAGGAGGGGGGTGACTATTTGCCACCGCCCACCCATATCAATATTTTCAGGACAAAAATGAATTCTATTCCCTTGTAATTAGTTATGACCATTAATAAACCATACCACATTATTTTCTTTATCAGAAAAAGGAAGATAGGAGGGCATAGAAAGCCTTCTCCCTAAAGGACCTATGTCACAAGTTTGATAAATTAATTGCATCATTTTGGATGGTTTTTTGGTTATTAAAATGTCCTATTATCTAACAGAAAAATAATTTGGAAGTGGATTTTTTGGAAATTTTGTATCCCTTTTTTTACAGGAGTGGAAGGCAGGCAGGGGAAAAGAAGTGAAATAGGCATTCCCTAAGCATCCAATTTTGTAGTTTTTCCTCCTTTATAGTAATAGTCCAAATTCATCTAACTTCCTGCCTTCATGGCAAAAGATTGTAACTCAAAAGTCTAACAGAAAATAGCCTCAGGTACTTTCTTATATTCCTTATTAAATTCAAAAAAGCAACTTCCTCCGACAGTCTATAATTTTCCCTCTACTGCCTCTCTTCCTTCATAATATCCTAATCATCACTGCATATTAAAGAGCTTTTAACAACGCCTTATTTTTTATTTTTTAAATTATTTCTTATTAATTTACAAAACTGTATATATTTATGATGCACAACACGATGCTTTGATATATGTATACATTGTATAATAACTAAATAAAGCCAATTAATATATTTGGCTTTATTATATTTATTTGGCTTTATTTATTATATTAATAATATATATTAATTATATTTAAATAATTACCTCAAATACTTATAATTATTTTTTGTGGTGAGGATATTTAAAATCTACTCTCTCAGCAATTTTCTAGTATACAATACATCGCTTTTTACTATAATCACCATGTTCTACAATAGATCACTTGAACTTATTGATTCTATCTAACTATTTAGTATATGCTTTGACCAACATCTCTCTAATGTCCTCCACTCCCAAGCCCACCCCACTCCCTGGTAACCACCATTCTACTCTCTACTTCTATGAGTTCAACTTTTTTAGATTCCACGTGTAAGTGAGATCATGCAGTATTTGTTTTTCTGTGTCTGGCTTATTAATTTTAACATAACATTCTTCAAGTTCATCCATGTTGTTGCAAATGACAGGATTTCCTACTTTAAAGAAGGAAATCTTTTTTTTTTTTTCTTAAGAAAAAAAAAAAGAGAGATTCAAGGAAATAGTAAATGAGAAGCTCCCAGTACAGGGCCCAACAATACAAATAATGCCAGCCAAGATTATGGTGTTCTCTCCAGCATTATTTTCTGGCCAGGCACTACACCAAGTGATTTACATACATGCTTTCACTCAGTCTTCACAGCAGCCCTGTGGCATTTACCCCAATTCACCAGTGAGGAAGCAGACACCCAGAGAGGGTGACTTTCCCCTGGTCACACAGCTAAACAAGGGATGGGAGAGGCAAGCCCAGGTCTGTGTGACTCCAGATGGGTCCCTCTCAGCCAATGGATCCCCGCCTCTCACAGAGCAGGTGCTCAATAAGTGGTGAGGTCGTTCTGCCAGGCTCTGGGCATCGCCCCCACTGTGGCCTCGGGCAAAGCCAAAGCCATCCTTGAGGGCAGGTAAGGAACACCTCTGCAGCTGTGCCCTTGACCACTTTGAGGAGGATGGGGTTCGGGGGATACAGAGAAGGAGGAGGGGAAGAGGAGAGCAAGAAAGGGACAATAACAAGGAGACAAAGAGATGGGGCAGGGAACAGAGAGAGGGGGGGAGTGTATATATACCATGGTGCATATATACTATGGTGTGTGCATATGTATACCCACATTTTCTTTAGCCATTTATCTATTAATGGACACTTAGGTTGATTCCATATCTTTGCCATTGATAACAATGCCTAATTATATGATGGGCACATTATAAAATATAATGCTGATACCCAAATAGCAGCTTTGTTAATATTACCTTCTCTCCTGGTGTCATTGCCACCAGGCCCTGTTTCAGACATTCTAAATTAATGCACTGATATGATTACTTACCCTTTGTACCTTTGCCCATTTGTAATTCTCTATCTACCTAGGCTTCAGAAAGGAAAGAAACAAATTAAGTCATGTATTGCTTGATTTTGTGGCTATCACTTGGGTGTTTTCATTTTGACATGCAAATAGAGGATATTATAATCACTGATCACAGTAATCATTCTGGACTCTTCTCATTTTAAGCACATAAAGAAAAATCTCAAGGTTCTAATAGTGTTGTCTGGAGTTGTTCCAGCATCCCTTCTGTGGCCTTAAGACAAAATTTTAACCTCAGTGCTGTCCGCAAATGGCAGGCCCCAGTCAGACTCAGCCACTTTTTGTCTAGGTAACTTGTACCTGCAATTACCTTCTCCTGTGTGATACAAAACCAGAGTCAGGGGAATTTCTACTCCAAATTTCATGCACTGGGGCTTCAAACCACTGCTGTTGCTGTTGTTGTTGTTGTTGTTGTTTTAAGGAGCAGAGAGTTTAATAGCCAAGAAGGAAGGGATAAGAGAAAATGAAGAAGCTCCCCTGTACAGAGACAGAGGGAGTGGGGCTCCAAAGCCGAAAGAGGAGGTCCCCACCTGCCATGGGTACCAGCCAGGTATACATGCAGAGGCTGGAGGAGGTGGTGTTTGATTTGCGTAGGGCTCAGGGGATTTGTTTGACTAGGTATGTCATTTACTTAGCCTTCAAAATAGCTGGCCCTCCCACCCTAGCCTTTTAATATGCAAATGCAGGACACCGTGATGTTCTACACCCGTGGTGATATGTGGGAGCAGCCATGTTGCCAGGAACATGTGGGGAAAAGGGCAAGAAGGCAGCGGGAATCTCCATGTTTGGGTGGACCCAGTTTCTAATGGCTGGCATTTGCATATCAAAGGTTGCTGGCCTTGCTCTAAGAGCCTGGGCTTTACAACAAACTTTATTGGAGATGCTTTAAAAAATGAAAACTTCCCAAGGACCCCTTTTCCTACAACATTCCCCCCTGTGGAGATGCCACACTAACTGCTGTTAGGGAGTTTTGAGTGACGACTCCTTCTGGCTACTTCCTGCTGAAAAGGGGCATTGAATGGGGAACAGCTGCTAGGGCTCCTTTTGGGGTCAATCTAATGGTCCTCAGAAGAATGGCATGTCCATGTGTGGTTCAATTTACACCACCATTTGAAGTTTGATTGCTTCTAGGCAAGAAGAAACAATTTGAGTTATAGTATTGAGTATACAGGGTCCAAATATCAATACAAGACTTATAAGCAAGAAAGTGCTTAATAATGGGGGTTAACCAATTCCATAAAGAAGACCTGAGTTCAACCTATGCAAATCAATAAACATAACCCATCACATAAACAGAACCCATGACAAAAACCACATGATTATCTCAATAGATGCAGAAAAGGCCTTTGACAAAATTCAACATCCCTTCATGCTAAAAACTCTCAATAAACTAGGTATCAATGGAACATATCTCAAAACAATAAGAGCTATTTATGACAAACCCACAGCCAATATCATACTGAATGGGCAAAAGCTGGAAGCATGCCCTTTGAAAACCGGCACAAGACAAGGATGCCCTCTCTCACCACTCCTATTCAACATAGTATTGGAAGTTCTGACCAGGGCAATCAGGCAAGAAAAAGAAATAAAGGGTATTCAAATAGGAAAAGAGGAAGTCAAATTGTCTCTGTTTGCAGATGACATGACTGTATATTTAGAAAACCCCACCGTCTCAGCCCAAAATCTCCTTAAGCTGATAAGCAACTTCTGCAAAGTCTCATTATACAAAATCAATCTGCAAAAATCACAGGCATTCCTATACACCAACAACAGACAGAGAGCCAAATCATGAGTGAACTCCCATTCACAATTGCTACAAAGAGAATAAAACACCCAGGAATACAACATACAAGGGATGTGAAGGACCTCTTCAAGGAGAACTACAAGCCACTGCTCACAGAAATAAGAGAGGACACAAACAAATGGAAAAAACATTCCATGCTCATAGATAGGAAGAATCAATATCGGGAAAATGGCCACACTGCCCAAAGTAATTTATAGATTCAGTGCTATCCCCATCAAGCTACCATTGACTTTCTTCACAGAATTGGAAAAAACCACTTTAAACTTCATATGGAACCAAATTAGAGCCCGCGTATCCAAGACAATCCTAAGCAAAAAGAACAAAGCTGGAGGCATCACGCTACCTGACTTCAAACTCTACTACAAGGCTACAGTAACCAAAACAGCATGGTACTGGTACCAAAACAGATACGTAGACCAATGGAACACAACAGAGGCATCAGAAATAACACCACACATCTACAACCATCTGATCTTTGACAAACGTGACACAAACAAGCAATGGGGAAAGATCCTCTATTTAATAAATGGTGTTGGGAAAACTGGCCAGCCATGAGCAGAAAACTGAAACTGGACCCCTTCCTTAAACCTTGTACAAAAATTAACTTAAGATGAATTAAAGACTTAAACGTAAGACCTAAAGACATGAAAGTCCTAGAAGAAAACTCAGGCAATACCATTAAGGACATAGGCATGGGCAAACAATTCATGTCCAAAACACCAAAAGCAATGGCAACAAAAGCCAAAATTGACAAATGGGATCTAATTAAACTAAAGAGCTTCTGCACAGCAAAAGAAACTATCATCAGAGGGAAGAGGCAACCTACAGAATGGGAGAAAGTTTTTGCAATCTATCCACCTGACAAAGGGCTAATATCAAGAATCTACAAAGAACTTAAACAAATTTACAAGGAAAAAACAAACAACCCCATCAAAAAGTCAGCAAAGGATATGAACAGACACTTCTCAAAAGAAGACATTTATGCAGGGAACAAACATATGAAAAAATGCTCATCATCACTAGTCATTAGAGAAATGCAAATAAAAACCACAATGAGATACCATCTCATGCCAGTTAGAATGGCGATCATTAAAAAGTCAGGAAACGGCAGATGCTGGAAAGGATGTGGAAAAATAGGAACACTTTTACACTGTTGGTGAAAGTGTAAATTAGTTCAACTATTGTGGAAGACAGTGTGGTGATTCCTCAAGGATCTAGAACTAGAAATACCATTTGACCCAGCAATCCCATTACTAGGTATATACCCAAAGGATTATAAATCATTCTACTATAAAAACACATGCATACACATGTCTACTGTGGCACTATTCACAATAGCAAAGACTTGGAACCAACACAAATGTCCAGCAATGATAGACTGCATAAAGAAAATGTGGCACATATACACCATGGAATATTATGCAGCCATAAAAAAGGATGAGTTCATATCCTTTGCAGGGACATGGATGATGCTGAAAACCATCATTCTCAGCAAACTAACACAAGAACAGAAAACCAAACACCACATGTTCTCACTCATAAATGGGAGCTGAACAATAAAAAAACATGGACACAGGGCAGGGAACATCACACACTGGGGCCTGTTGAGGGGTCAGGGACTAAGGGAGGGATAGCATTAGGAGAAATACCTAATGTAGGTGACAGGTTGATGGGTGCAGCAAATCACCATGGCACATGTATACCTATGTAGCAAAACTGCACGTTCTGCACATGTACCCCAGAACTTAAAGTATAAAAAAAAAAGAGGCTTGAATTTATTAAAGAGGAATTGTAGCCACTCGGGGCTGAAGCATGCATTTTCCCTAAGCCTGTCAATAACTTTGGTTTGATTTTTAAGTACCTGTAGATTTTCCTCTACTGTACTAGACGTGTTAATCCAAAAGCAGCATGTTTCATCTGAAACTGCATTACTAAACCCAATAAAAAGTCCTAGCTGACTCAGTGATAGTAAAATTTTCATGCTTCCTTTTTGTCAACTATTATCTCTGCTATAAGGATAATAATTAAGCAAAATACTACAGCAATGGAAACTCTCTGTCCAATATTACAGTTAGAAGGTGCTACCATGTATAACCCTATTGCAAATAGTAGAGTGAGGACAGCAATTCCCACAAGTATGGTGTGGTAGGTAACTTCCATCTAAAATTTTACTTGCCAAGATATAGAATTCCCCTTTGGGGGTCTATGAAGTTCCTTGGTTTTATTTTCCCAAAGAAACCTCCAGGTTATGGGCACCTTACTCACTTTCATTACCTGGCAGAATTTGCAAGATAATTGCCCAGAACTAGCATATTGATTCACATTTTTACATTACCCATCCCTTTTTTTTTTTTCCCAACCTGCAGAAGATCACCACTTGATTGACAGGAATAAGCAGAGTTAGTCTAAAATGTAGGCAAAAGGCTTAAAAACAATTAATGAGACTAGGATTTAATGACAAATGTATGATAAGCTTTGGAGCAAAATTTTTCTCTCCAGTCCTCATTTTTGCTAAAAACTAATTATCAGTAAACTTAAGTCTTATACTTGGCCTGATTATTTGCATAAAGTGCAGCAAGAATGTTACTTTTACATAGGCCTTTTGGATTCGCTTTGATGAAACTCTGTTCCACCAAAAATTTCCGATAAGACTTTTAAAGCTGAGCCCACCCATGGGTTTGTATCCTCTAATACCTGTGAGTTGTGTGATCCTCTCCTCTTGAGGTCCCAAGATAAACTCAGAGCTTCCAGACCTGTTAGAAAGTAACATTCTTTACTGACCACAGGTTAGGAACCCTGTGTGGGGACTGTGTAGACAAGATATGAGGCCAGTTCTCCCCAAGGGGCTTGTATTGGCTCTGCATGTCAAGCTTGATTCCTTAAAGGGAAACACACCCTTTCAGTAAAAGCATTGGTAAAGTAACCAGTTTTTCCAATTGTGTCCTGTTGACAAAGAAAAATGGATTCTTATTGCACTGATGCAAACAACTATATTGCCGTAAGAGTACTCACAGAGAGTCTCCAAATTCTAGAGGAACCAGGCAGAGAAAAATAAACATGGTCCAAATTTTGTTCACAGGAGTATACCCTACTCAATTATTAAAGGCCATAAATAGTTTAAAATAACTTTCCTTGACTCTGAAAATCAAAACAAGGATCAGCAGTATTCCAAGCAAAAGTTAAAAAGGTTCCTTTAACTTTCTAAGTGTAGTCCACTCAGTTAACTTTCGTTTTGCTTTACATTTGTCAACATGTCAGCTCTTTATGAGTCTCATACATTCTTTATTTCAATGTTACAATCTTTAAAGCTATTAAAAACCTGCATTTGTGAACACCTATTAAAGTCCTTAATATAGCTTGATTATAAACCATCTTTTGAGAAGGAACAAAGCAAGATAACAATTTTCTGCAAAATGACAAATTTCCAGGATAGTTCCAGTTAAAAATACGACTGACAAGTTTATTTATCTTTGTGGCTTATAATAACTTTACCCTTAATTATAATTGATAGTATATACTTAGATATTAGAATTTTAGAAATCCCATATAATTTTGGAACATATATTAGTATTATTCACCAAAATATAACTTAAAGAAGTTTGGACATCATTTTGGCAATCTCATATGACTAAACATGTCAAATGATCCTGTCTACCTCTTTTCTGAATGTTTCAGGAGCCCTTTGAACCATCCAAAAAGCCAGGCATCAGGAAGGACAATTTCCAGGTTGCCATAAATTATTTTGCCAAAATGATGACTCAAAAGGCAAAAACCTTTATTAGCCTTTACTATGACATGAAAATTTTGTTCAAAGCAAAATTTTACCCTTGTATTAGTTTATTAATGTTAACCCCAATTCGTTTACATGAAACCTTATAGATTATTCCATGTAATCCTAACTAATTTGACCATGAGGTGAAATCTTTACAAACCTTTTATAATAACCCTTTTACTAAAGGGCAGATGAGTGTCTTAAGACCTCCTTGCTATGCTTTTATTTTAATGCTTAATTTATGAAAAGACCATATAGATGTTATGGGAGAAGATGGTGCAGTGCTTCTACCATGCATTTCATTACAAAGCAACCCAAAGCCAATTGGTTTATTTTGTAATTAGCCCATCCCTGATGGGAGTCTCATCTCCCAGTAGGGAGTGGGGATGCTTCCTTATCTTCCAGGTGGCCAAGAGCATGCTTCTCTGATTTATAACTACTATTAGCCATCCCTTACAGTGTATTTTTTAGCTAGTTATTACAGACCAAAGTTCTCTCATAATGCAAAGTATTTCTGATCCCCCCCAAACTCAAAACTGGCAGATAACACAATGCAAAACAGGACAGAGCCTTTGATTTTGAAAGGGATCTATCTCCTTTTAATTCCCGGAGTTTCACGAGGAAAACGGAGGGTTTTTTCCCCAAAACGGGGTTTGTGGCACCTCCTCTGTTTTTCCCCAGGAGTCCCACACTACCAGAAGTTATTTTAGGGCCTTTTATGCATGCATTAAGAGTGGTAAGACAAAAAATGGAGAAAAATAATTCAGTTAACTGAGAAGAAAAGAGCCTTTTTCTAGAAAAACAAGATTCGAGAAAAGAAAAACATAAAGACCTTTAAAATATACCTAAAACTTGAATATCTACTTTTAATTAAGCTGTGCATTCTTTAAAAAAATCCTTTTATATCTCTTGTTACTTGACTTTAGCCACACCAAGCAGTTCAGATTTTCACCTTTTGAACTTTACAAAAAGTACCCTTCTGGGTGAAACCAATGAGCCTTAATTAGGTTATGACTTAACCACAAGTGTACAAGATATTTTTTAAGGCGTGATAGGCAGCTTTTGAAACTGTCAATGCAAAACTGTCACTGAGAGAGTGAAAGAGATTTGACCCAAACAACTCCATTTTGTTTCCAGCCCCCAAGCTGTTCTTGCCCATTCCTGGCCATAGACTGAACCAATTTTGGGAGCAGCCGGGTTTACAGTCTATAGTCTAAAACAAAGATGGTAACAGCAGCTTTCCAAGATATATTTCCCTCTTACCTGGAGACCAGACCAAGAAACTAGCCACAGGATTATAAACTATGGCCCAAGAGCCATGCAGCTGGAGGCTACGAGATTTTGACCCTCCCTAAACTGCTCTGAAGATAGTGCTTAAGATATTTTGTAAACCCTGCCCTTGATGGATCAGCTGGCACCACCCAGATTGACAAACTGGCATATCTGATTTAGCACAAGAAGACAGCCACGATTGTAAAATGGCGGAGACTAAAATAAAGTATTGCCACGCGGTTACAGATTATGTTTCCAAAGACATGAAACAAGATGGAGACCTGTAGCCAAGTTTTCCAGCGACCGCTTTCTTGGGCTGGCTTGAACAGCAGGCTTAATGGCTCCTGGGCCTGCATCCTAACCTAAGACACCCTTTCTCCGACAGAACCATATAGAAAGACATGCAAAGTACACAAGATTGTCTGCAGCTTAAGACCAACCTTACAAATCCTTTTTCATTAATTATACATTTACAGAGAACATCAACGGTGATCCTTATTATCCCTTTTACCAGTTTGCACAGGGAGAGAGAAGCCAAAAGCCCACCTGGTAAGAAATGTTTACCCTTTTGCCGGCCAGGCTTCTGGGTTCCCTCGTCCCTAGCTCAACTCTACACCAAGCATTTTAAGATTTGGAAAATTAACTTTTCCCAGGCAGGTTGTAAGAACATTATACAAGAGATAGAAGCCATTTTAAACCACAAAAGAAGGAAAAAACACCATAGAAAGGAGTTTCAATTAGGGTTGTTAAGAGGTAATACCTCTCTTCCTATTGGGAATGGTGATTCCCCTATTTCTTGGCCTTCCCTATTTTCTCTTTTCCCTTCTGGCCTACTATAGGAGACATACTGCTCATCTCCAGAATTTTCTTCTGCTTGCTGAGTTGCCTGTTTTTAGCTGCAGTGAGGGTTTGACTTAGCAGCAATATAACATCCCTCCATGTGAGATCAAATACCTGAGTTAAATTTTGGAAAGCTTCTATATACCTCTCAGGGTCGTCAGAAAAGTCAGCCTCAGTTTCCCTTTACTTGCCTAAGGTCCTGCAATAAGAAGGGAACTTGAAGGGGCCCCAAATAAGGAAGACCCTCAGATGATTTCCTTGAAAGTTACTTTTTTAATTTGGGGGAACTATTTTGCCTGGGCCTGTCCGATATCGTTGCTAAAAGAGCTGGGTTGATCTTGCAACACTTGCAAAGGTCTAGTAGAAAGGCCATACCCTTGTGCAAAAGAAAATAAGCCACTGTTCTTCAAAGTTTCAAGGTCAAAGGAGTCCCAATGCTTCAACATACACTCCAGTGGAGTGCATGTTGAAGATGATCTGTTACCCATCTAGAAAGAGAAGTGAGAATAAAAGCATCCTTTTAGTCTCCTTCCTTTCAGTATGTGATCCAGGATGGAGATGAAAACAGTAGAGGGTGTCCTCCCAACTATTTTCTCTCCGTCGCTCCTGGATTCCCGGCACCAGCTTAAATGTGCTGCCCATGACTGCAGGCATGACGCTCCAAGCCATGGCACCAGAGGAACTGAGTTTTGGGCCTTAGTCACCATGTCCCCAAGCAATCAGTTCTCTGCCTTTTATTTCCCTTCGATCTCCTAGACTTGTGTGGCCTATGTGCCTTCCAAAAAATGGATCTCAAAAAAACCATGTAATTGGGCAAGGCCCCTTTAAGGGAGGGGGGCGTGCTAGGTTGAACTCTATATTCTGCTATTATGGCCCATGCTAAAGCATGTACCCATAGAAGAATGGTTCCGGTTAACCTCCAGACTCAAAATCCCCTTACTAATTAAGTACTGTCTTAATAGGAGACAAAATCGATGCCTTAACAGAACATAAGAACCGAATGGCTGTTTTCCTGCCTGTGGGACAGTATCAAGACTCAAACTTGGCTTTGGAAGGCATCTTACTCCAAACCGTTAAAAGCAGAAACTTCCCATTCCCAGAAGAGGCCTAGGGCCTGATTTCTACTAGGTAGCTTAGAAATACCATGTGCTCACCAGAGAAAATGTAGAGAGGGAGACATTGATTGAGTTACTGCCTGCCATGATTCACGATCTTTTCCAACAGAACTGTTTCCCTGAACTGTAAAGATTCCTGCACATAAGACACACAGAGAGAAGGCAAGAGACCACAGATAGAAAGAGAAAGTTTGGTGACAGGGTAGCTAGAAGAGAGCCTTGAGATTAAAGGACAGATTTAAAGTTGAAATCTGCTCCATATTCACCAGTCTGATGATTGAATTTCCTTTCCCGCCCCATGCACCAAAATGATACGGCTCTGATGAGTGGAGGAACACCAGGGTTCTTGGTCCTCATGCCGGTTTAGATAATATGACATGGACACACATGGAGTGGTTTTAAGGAGCGGAGAGTTTAATAGGCAAGGAGAAAGGGAGAAGACAGAAGAAAGAAGCTCCCCAGTACAGAGACAGTCTGGGGGGGAGCTCCAAAGCTAAAAGAGGAGGTCCCCCCAACCATTTTTATCCTCTTTCCTCTCCTGCCAGATCCTTTCCCTTTGGAACCTTGTGACTTTCAGCACACAAAACAAACCCTGATACAGCTTGATCATAGTTGGTTCCCTCTGGCTCCAGACAAATAGAAGGCTTGGGAAAGGCCCAGAGGAGCCTAGAAATGCCTTCTTAGGTCTGCATGAATGTGGATGATGTTCTGCGGTTTCTCAGTTACACTGAGGTATGCATCCTGTTCATTTCAGTCAGATGATCATTTCTTGTCTGCTGTATTCCAAGCGCCAAACTAGGATGCAAAGAAACAAAGACAAAGTCTTCCCTTCAAGCTGTATATAATCTAGTAAGAGCTAAACACACTTAGCAACTAATCTTAGCACTGATGAAGTATTGTCTTGTTTTGTTTTGTTTAAGATAAAGTTTCACTCTTGTTGCCCAGGCTGGAGTGCAATGGTGTGATCTCAGCTCACTACAATCTCTGCCTCGCAGGTTCAAGTGATTCTCCTGCCTCAGCCTCCCATGTAGCTGGGATTACAGGCGTGCGCCACCACATCTGGCTAGTTTTGTATGTTTAGTAGAGACACGGTTTCACCATGTTGGTCAGGCTGGTCTTGAACTCCTGACCTCAGGTGAGCCACCTGCCTTGGCCTCCCAAAGTGCTGGGATTACAGGCATGAGACATCATGCCCAGACTGATGAAATGTTTTGAAAGAGGTAGAGTCCTGATGCTCTGAGAACAGACACCTATCGAGTAGGCTGGTACTTGGGAAGCCTTTCTGCATGTGATAACTAAGTCAAATCAGGAAGGATGAGTTGGGGGTCACCATATAAAAACAGAGGGAAGGCATGCTCCAGGCAGTGGAAACAACATGGCCTGACAGACACACAACAGATGAGAGATGTTAGTATATTTAATGCGATTCTCTATGGTTATTCTTTAGGATAAGCAAAGTCAAAACTGGAAGAGTTTTGCAGCCTGGTAACTATTTTATATTTACTCTCTATCCAAAGGAAACCAATTGAAGAATTTTGAGTGGGAGAATAAAATAATCAAGAGGAATTGACTGGGCTTGGTGATGGATAGATTAATTCCACAACCAATTTTTTTAAAAACCTACTCAGTGTCAGCCACTCTACAGAGAGTTCATCACATAAATATAAGCCAGATGTATTCTTGTCTTTTAGTTGCTTCCAGCCCAGTAGCTATATGGCAAAAAAGAAAAAAAGGGGGACTACAAAGGAAGATGAAGGAAAGAAGGTGTGGAAAACGAACACAAAGCTTCTGACTTGGGCAATGGATCAGTAGTGGTGTTATTTATAGAAATAGGGCACAGAAGGAAGAAGGTAATAATGAGTTCAGTTTGGAATGTCTTTCTTTAAAGAGCCTGCCAAGTAGCTAAGAGGAAATGTACAACAGATAGCTGGAGCTCAGGCCAAATCCAGACCAATGCCTATTTTCATATGGCTCATGTGTGCTGCTTCAGAGGACACAGAAACCAATCTGGGGTGTCCCCCTCCACCTCCATTCCCCTCTGTTACTGTGTCTGTAACCACCCATCCTTCCCCATCCCCACACAGTCCTGCCAGCCCACTGGGCCCCAATCCCTCAAATGTCTGGAGAAAGTTTCCCTCCAGCTGACAGTGACCGTGTATGAAGTGCACTCATGGTCCAGAAGGGCCCATCGGACAAAGAGGATGGTGAAGGGGCAAGAGTTACCTTTCTTGTCATACGAAGTCCCTACACAATATCCTCAATTTTGCTTTTGATCTGCAAAGCCTAAGCCTAAGTCATTTAGTATCTTGCTCTTTACAAAAAAAAAAAAAAAAAAAAGTTTGCCCACCCCAGGTTTGAACTAAACTGCGATAAGAAAAAGTCTTTGTACATTATACCACCAAAATTCAATTCAGATGAACAAACATACTCACAATCTATTCAGAGGGTTTAAGCTGGAAATATTTATTGAAAGCTGAAAACTTACATTAGGTTAGGCAGTTCTTTACTCCACTCTCCCCTCTCTTTTTATCTGAAGAAAAAAAAACCCTAATTAATCAGGGTAACCAAATTCTGCCTTGAAGATAGTATAATTTGTTCTGAATTTTTCATACCTTGGGTTGTATCTTCTCTCAGAATTTCATCAAACATGTTGTTTTCCGTTCAAGTGGGCTTTTACATCTCACCAGGTATTAATTTATTTACAGAAGAAGGAAATTGAGGCGTTTGTCTAGGGCAACCAAACAACAAGTTAAAAATTTAAAAACCAACTGATTACGTCTCTGATTATTTGGTTTCTACAATTCCAGACACCCAGCACAGCCAATTTGCTTACCTAAAAGAACTGGTTGCATTGGTCTGGTGGAGACACAGCCAAAGGCAGCAGTTCTACCAGCTCACACACTGGGGATTTTTTTTTTTTTAACTTTTCCCAACCTCATACTAGCCAAGTCATGCAGATGAAGAAGTGATGTGGGAAGTAATTAAGTGCTATTAGAAGCAAACGGCATCTAATTTGACCGAATGGCCAAGTGCGGTGTGGTCTTTTGATAGCATTTCCAAATACAGGAACCAAATTTGATCCTTTAAGTCCTCCTTGTCTTTAGGATGCATGTTTATTCAAAGAACAGATGGGGAGAAAAATCAGAAAAAGACTTTGTTCGACCCACATAAAACAGCATATTTGAGTGTGGGCATGAAGGGAGATGAGTTTTGGAAGGATTTTCATTTGTTTGATGTGTGAAGATAGAATTGGGAAGTGGGAAAGAGCGGACATTATTTAATCTCTCCCAGGGAGGAGCTTCAGAAGGTTCTAAGAGAAAGAAAGCTCCCTTAGTAAGCACATATTTCTGTGCTCTCATATCTTTGGTATTTTCCATTATAATAAAAGAGAGATTTCCAGGACTAAAGTTACTGGGTACTACAGACAGGAAGAAATTTTAGAAATGGTTATAAACTACCACCCACAAATTAAGCTTTTTTAGGGTTTGGAATTTTTAATTCCAAGACAATTTTTAAATAAATTGTCTTTGGATGAGGTCATGCCTGTGTGTTATTATATGTACTCCTAGTCATTAAAGACCAAAATGGAAATCCAGAGAGCACTGCACTAAAAACAAGCTTAATGCTGACAGCATTTATGACCTACATGCCTAATCCCATAGGTCTCCAGGCTCACAAGAAAACTGTTTCTCTTGAGATGCCCAAGTTGTCATTGCATGTCAGGGAAACTCAGGTATAAACAGGTACTTAAAAATAAGGGTAAGCTTTGCTGGCTACTTAAAGCAAATTGAGCTTTTGAAACTGATGAGGTGTACCCCGTTGAAATGTTGGCATCAGTCTGGAGCCCAATGCAAACAAGAAACAACAAGGGGAAAGACAATGGAGGAGGAATCAGGAGGAATCATAATAGAAAGGAATTGCCTGCTGGTTGCTAACATTTCCATATGGACACAAGCAGCAAAATTACAAAAGATCAAAGAGCAATCCAAAGAAGAAGGGAGTGTTCAGTCTCATAATTGTGCATGTGTGTGAACATACAGCCTTCTGTAAGAATAACAGCAGAAACATGTTTTTGCAAGTGAGGTCCAATGTATGCCAGCTAATGGGGGTGCCTGGCTGAACCTCAGTATGCAAAAATCTACTCTACATTTGTTAAAGATGCTACTGATTAATGGTATCTCAAATCTGTAATAACAGTTAACAGATGCACAAGGGGGAAATGTCCTCAATACAAATGCTGTAGGCTTCCAAACCTCATTGTAATTATTCCATTTGTGGTCAAGTGCTAGCAACCCATTTTACAGCTAAAGCCTAAGGCAAAATAATTTTGCCCACCATGACATTGAGGGAGAAGTTGAGGCGCAAAGGGACAACTCATTCTCCAACTCTTTACGTGTCAGCACTACATATGAAGTTTCTCTTGTGTCTGTTTTAAACTAGATACAAGAAACAATTTCACAAGAAATTGTGAAACTGTGTCTTTCACAAGAAGCAATTTCAATCTTTGCACCCAGAGAATAGCTTCTCTATGTAATTCTAATCTGATGAAATCACTGATTTTCCTGTGTTAAGAGGTTAGTGAGTTCTATTTCACAACAGATAGGCTCACTCCACATTTGGTAAACTCTGCCCCAACTGCGAAATTTTAAACAAATTTAATTCTTGGTAAATGTATTATTAACTACTATTAATACATAAGAAAATAATAACGTAATGAAAAAATGTTTAATAGTAACATAATGAACATAAAAATAATATTAGGAAATGCAGAAAAAAGCTTGGTATATCTCAAAATACATAACTGTTCAAGAGCGCATTGGCCCAAATCACCAGTTTTTTCATTCATTAATTTCTGTTATGGTTTGAATGTGTTTTCCACAGTTAATGTGTTGGAAAGTTAATCCCCAGTGCAACAGTGTTGAGAGGTAGGACCTTTAAGAGGTGATTATGTCATGAGGACTCTGGATGAATGGATTCTTATCAGAAGCTTGCTATAAAAGCTGAATTTGGCCTACTCTTGCTCTCTCTCACCATGTCATGCTTTCTGCCATTTTATGACACAGCAAGAAGGCCCTTACCAGATGCAACCCCTCATTCTTGGACTTACCAACCTCTAGAGCCAATCAATCGCTTTACTTTATAAATTACCTAGTCTTAGGTGTTCTGTTACAGCAACAGAAAATGGACTGAGACAATTTCCTTGGGAAAGTAAACAGAATGGGCTTTGAAGGAGTCTCTCACTGAATTTAGAAAACAAAATGACGAAGACACAACTTTCAACACTTCATTATATTACTAGGTTTAATGGTTGCAATTACATATGGCTTTATAGACTCAAAAGTGCTTTGCAACCTTTAATTAGTCCATCTTCCCAAGTCCACCTCCATTTTTGGATGACAGCACTGAGATATATTGGTTATGATTTGCCCTCCAGTAGCCAAGTAAGTCAGAAGCCCAGTTCAGAGTAAAACCAAGTCTCCAAAACAGAACCAATGCATGGGCACTGGGATTCTGGCTCACCTCTCATTCTACAGCATAGCTGGAATTTTGTTTAAAATGTGAAAGCATGCAAACAATGTTTTATCACCAGATATAGGGAGGTTTTGTTGTTATTAATCAACTTTTTATTGTATTTTCCCTTCGGATATAACTGCAAGTCAAATATAAGTAAATACTTTTTCCTCTTGCTCTATCTTCTAACTTCCAGTTCTCTTACCCACTTGCCCTCATTTGGAACACAATTTTCACTTTTAGAAAGATGTTTCCTTAGAGTTTGGAAAATTAATTTGATTAAGAGTGAGAGTCTGTAATCCCAGCACTTTGGGAGGCCAAGGCGGGTGGATCACGATGTCAGGAGTTCAAAAACAGCCTGGCCAAAATGGTGACACCCTGTCTCTACTATAAATACAAAAAATTATTACCTGGTGGCGGGTACCTGTAATCCTAGCTACTCGGGAGGCTGAGGCAGAGAATTGCTTGAACCCGGGAGGTGGAGGTTGCAGTGAGCCGAGATCATGCCACTGCACTCCAGCCTGGGTGACAGAGTGAGACTCCGTCTCAAAAAGAAAAAAAAGAGTGAGAGTCAGTGCGAACGTGTGTGTGTGTGTGTGTGTGTGTGCGCGTGTGTGTGTGTGTTAGGGCCAGTGCAGTTAAAAATACTATCACATTCAAGAATTCCAATGTAAGCAGTCTTATAAACCTTAAAAATGTCATTTAAATCACATATTTAATAGGAAGCTTTAAGAAAGAGACAGAGACTCATTGTGAGCTTTTTTCATGTGCCTGTCTCTGGCTCACCTTCCAGCTGCTTTGCAGGGGGATCAAGGTGGGTGAGCAACTCGCTCCAAGCCCTGAGGTGCTGTATCCCAGCTGCCAATATCTTCATAGGGTCACTGAGCAGGCATATAACTCATTCCATTTGTAACCATGAGAAATAGAGTCCCCCAGGGAAAATATGCACTTCCCGTATGTTCTGCCCTGTGCACTGGTCTAGGTGAATCACTATCCAGGAGGGAAAGGGGAAGGGATGTGTCTTGACACATTATTTCCTCACAGATATCAGAGCATCATTTCAAGGATAGTATACTGCCTTAAACAGACCACCTATCTGATCCAGCCATGGAGATGGGATGCTTTTAGGAGCTTTCCAGTAAATGCCTCTAAATTCTATTGCTAAGGCTTCCACAAAACTATCAAAAAAAGAAATGCTTTGATGTGTGTCCCCTCTAAGCACTGTGCCACAATTCATAACCTCCACACCCAGCCCCTTCCATCCTTTTCTCAGTCCCTTTTCTGTCCTCCCCTCCGCCCACCGTGGAGCTCGGCCATGCTGTATGCCTTCCTGCTCACATGAACTGCAGTTGCTGGAAAAATGAAGCCAAAAGAAACAGCCAATAAAAACAGAAACAGCTGTAACAATTTTGCACAGCATGGTCTTGATTTCCTTGAGTTTTTTACTTTTGCCTCTTTTTTTTTCCTCCTCTTTTTCTTCTCCCTTCAGCTCCCTTTTCCATACAACACCTTCTGTGTTGGGGCTTGGAATGGAGCAAGAAATACTTCCCTCTTCTGCAAACGCTTTGTGATTCAGAAACAATGTTGGAGTCCATTTTGAATCACTAGTTCCAAAACAAGCAGAACCCCAGAGAGGCATGGAGTGCAGGGAGGAGGAGGAACAGAAACAAGGGAAATGAGTTGAGAATCTTGCCACCAAAGACAGGTGCAAAGATTTACAAAAATAAGAATAACAGACCCAGCTCTCAAATTTGCTCCTTCTCAGGCTGCTATTGCCAGTGGCTGTGCCTGTTGTGAGTTGAGCTCACAGAAGCGGTTCTTTTTATTTCATGGAATGTTTGCACTCACCTCCCTAAATGGACCCTGTTCTGAAGCCTCTATTGAACTGTTGTTTACAGTAGCCTCACTTTACATCTATCTCCTCTTCCCCAAAAACCAAGGCATGACAAGGTAGCTTGTAAATGCAAAAGGCTACTGGAGGAGCAATGTTAGTAGTTTCAGAGAAGAAAAGGAGAAAGAATGACTCAAAGCACTGAACAAATATAAAAGGAAACACTAACAGCAGATTGCAATCAGTACTGTCTTTCCTGTCTGAACAGGCTCATGAACCTGGGGATGTTTACCTTCTTCAGAATCCATAAAGAATCCAGGATCCACTCACCAGGCCCCATCTTTAGCAGGTGCTGAATCCAGTTCTATCTAAAATGCTTGCAGTCAGGGGAAATGATCTCCAATGGTGATTAAAGCCTCCTTTGAATTTTTATTTTTTAACGTATTGGGTGTTGTGCATTGTTTTGTTTCTCTCCAGCTGTTTCCTCTCTTTACCCATTTTCTGGGACATGGTTCCCCAGTCTGAGGCTGAGCTGGATCTGGGCTACGCATCATGAAGACCTGGTAGAAATAAAAGCTCTTTCATGGTGGCAAAACCCTGTTTTTCAGATGGTGTGAAACAGATCTGTATTTTATTATTAATAACAGCACATGCGTGACACCACGTCTTCAAAGGGCTGTGAAAACATTAATTCTTTTGTGATGAAAAAAAAGCAGCAGCAGCAGCGTCTTTTTAAAGTGAATCTCCCAGTCTTCTGGAGAGAGGCTAGAAAACATAGTCTTAGCTAGAGATGAATGAATCAAACCCCGGAGGTCTGAGATCTGGGTCTGATTGAGGAGCGCTTTGAAAAAAAAAAAAAAAAAAATCAGGAGTTTTATCTGAGCTAGAGCATGTTCCAAATTCTACACCCTTTCAAACTCACATGGAAGTCTTTCGAAGACAAGCTGTGGTCTTTGTTCCAGGAATAAAACAAACAATAAAAGACAGGAAAGTAGAGCAGAATAAACGTGGCTTTTCTACATTGTTGAAATTTGATCTGAGGTCTCTAGAAGAGAGAATCATTCTCCCTAGTTGGCAAACCTGCCCTTCAACTTCTTTTAATAAGTGATTTCTTTGTCAAAGTCACAATCTTCTATTAAAAGGAGACAATTAATATCCTATTTTGCAGAACCTGGAAATGGAATCCAAAGGCCCAATTTGCCACTGGACTTCCCAAATTAGCCCTTCAGCTTTTCTTTGTTTTCCTTACATTTGAAAGGTTGTTGCTTTGTTTTGGAATTTTTTTTGTCCAATTAAAAAACATATAGGATTTTGTGCTTATACAAAAATATATGTAATGTGTATGTAAGTTATACAGTATAATTTGCAAAGTGAAACCTCTAACTTCTGCCTTGCTTAAGAATTAAAATATTAAAATATTACCAACAACCTGCCAGTAACTGTGTGTTCTTCTCTAGTTCACCCCCTGCCTCCCTGATAAGGGTTGTCATGATCATATATTCCCACAGTGGATTGATAGCATTAATAGCCCTAATTATTGGCCTCCCAAATGTCCTTTGCTCTATACCATTATGGGGACCCCTCCCCCTGATTCCAGGCTTGATAGGGTGACTTGATTTTGCCAGTGGGCTGTAAGCAAATCAGATGCAAGTAGAGCTTTGGAAAGCACACGCATGTTCTTGTGTGCCCCCTGGCAGAATCAGCCTTATTTGTTCTTTCCCTCTGGGCCCTGACCTGAGAACTTGGCCAGGTTAGACAGCTGGATGGTGACAGATACGTGGAGCAGAGTTGTGTCACCCTAAATCATGGCCATCCTTAATCAGCCAACAGCCAAGCCATAAGCATGTGTCAGCCAAGATTAGCAGAACCACCCAGCCAGCCTGTAGCTTCACGGAAGCTACAGAGAGCCCAGCCAAGATCAGCCAAGCACTGGCAAGATCAGACAGACACAGCTGACTTGGAAGCCAGATCGATAATATAATACACGTTACTTTCTGTAAGCTCCTGAGTTTTGGGGTGGTGGTTTGCAGTATTATTTTAATAATAGATTATTTATACAATTCCCTTCCTCTTTAAAAAAAAATCACAATGTTTGCAGCCCTGAAAAAATATGTTGCTTTGTTTTGCCATTCCATCTCTCTTTTTTTAGTTTTAAAAAATTGTATCACAAGATATACTTTCTTTTGTGACTTGTTTTCTTCACTTACCATTATGTTTCTTTCATCTACCATTATTTTTCTTTCATCTATGTAGTTGCATGTAGTTATAGTAACTGGCTTTTATTATTACATAATCTTTTTGTGAATATAAATTATTTTCTCCAGTCTTCTGTTAATGGACATTTGGCTTTCCTATTGATAGGCATTTGTACTGTTTTCAGTTTGGGGTTATTATAATCAATAAACTCACAGATGTCTTCTAATGCACATTGGCAAGGTTCATTGAAATAAATATACCTATGAGTAGAACAGTAGGACTCTAGAGTATGATAATATTTTAATTTTGAAGCTGGTACCAAATTATTTTCCAAATTGGTAGTAAGAATTTGAATATACATCAGTATGTATCTTCTAAGGCCCCCATATGTATCTGCATCAAATCATCAGAAGCAGAGGCAGCACACAGGAGCCCTTGTGGGAGGGTTCAGTGGTTGAGTCTGGAAGACACATATCACATATCACCTCTGGTCACATGTCACTGGCTCAAACTCAACTACATGGCCACCTCACTGCAAGTGCAACAGGGAAACATAGTCCAAGAAGAGGAAATGAGCCGGCTACCTCATCAGTCTCTGACATAGCTTGTAATCCTTCAATATGAAAATACGAGTGTCTATTTGATAAGCACACCACAGTCTATAAAGCACATCCATGTAAAGTTTCCTATTTCACACTCTCACCAACTGTCTTGGGAAATTAGGTCACTTACCATTACACTCATTTTATAAATGAGGAAACTAGGGCTCAGAGTGGTTAAATGACTTGCCCAAGGTCACAAAGTTAGTAATTTGCTAGAGCCAGAGTATACTCTCAACACTTTTTCCCCAAAGTCTTGTCCTATTTCTAATATAATTAACCTTTTTCCAAATATTCATTCATCCACCAACTGAAATTAATTTTTGTATGAGTACTACATGACTATAGCACTACATTTCCTTCCCAAAACACAAAAATCAACAGAGCAAGGATCCCGCCCTTCGAGTCCCACAATTTTGAGTTTTCTATTTGCTGCCTCCCACTACCTGCCACTTCCACTTGCTCACTTCATGTTTACAGCTCAATCTACTCATGCTAAGTTCACCAATAACTTCCAGTTCAATGGATACAGTGGATATAGTTCAGTCCTCATCTGATTTCAGCACTGTCAAATCATTCCAGATTGTGACCCTTCTCTCTTTGTAATGCTTTTTTCTCTTAATTCTCATCATCCTACACATTCCTGATTTCCCACTCACCTCTCTGGTTAATTCCGTTAAATCATCTTTACTGTCTTATTCTCTTCTAACCAGTCTTTTTATATTGAGATCACCCTAATTCTGCCCAACAAAATTAGATCTTTTAGTAAAGACAACTGAAACATCATCTTGATAAATAAAATAAAATAAAAATATTTTCTATGCTTTACAAAGCCTTATCTTATCTCTTTTATAACACTGACCACATCCACCGTCTATAAGTTATCTGGCTCTCACAAGTCTTACCAACTTAACTAAATGCCTTTAAGGCTCAAACCTGGCACGTCTTCTCTTCTCACTCTATCTTCTCATTTTTGGCTATGGAGTAAGACAATGTTTTAACTTTGAAGCTAGTGCCGATTATTTTCCAAATTGGTAGTAATAATTTGTACATCCATCAATACATATCTTCCAAGGCCCCCATATACATCTGCATCAAACCATCAGAAGCAGAAGGAATACGTATGAGACCCTGTGGGACAGTTCAATGGCCTTTAAATATGCTATTTCCTCTCCCTGAGGGACCCTCTTGCTGCTTTTTACCTGGCTAATTCATACTCATCTTTCAGATCTCAGTAAAAATCACTTCCCAAGGAAGCCTTCCCTGATTCTGACGAGAGTTCAGGTCTCCGTCCCCATCTCATGTGCATGGATGACACCCTGCACTTCTCCCTCTCAACACTTGTCACAATTGTCGTGCAACATTTAACTGTGAAATTTGTTTCACTTCTCTTCATTCTACTGAAATTTTAGTTTCAAAATTATAAAATCCACGTGTATGCATACTCTGTACTGCTATATGTTCTTTGCATACAGAAGGACCTAATTGGATATTTATTCAGTGAGATCGTTTTATTAACGAAGAGAAAAAAGTCTCCATGAAATTTTGGATGCTATGTCATGCATGGAGTTACAATTGCCTAAAACCATTGGGTTTCTTTGTAACCTAAACTCTCATGCCTAATTATGTGGACCTAAGTACAGAACTATAAATGTATTTATTGCTTTTAAACACCATCCTATTAGATTGAGCCCACTCATTGGATTTAAATTATCTCCCACTTTCATATCATCTGATAAGGTGATAATCAAGTCACTGACAAAAGGGCTGATTAGGACAAAACTAGAGACAGGGCTCTGAAACCTGCCACTTGAAACTACTTTTAATTGTAGGATTACAATCTTTACCATGGAAGTTTTACTTCTTAGTTATATTGTCCTGATCATGGCTGCTGTTTTAAGAAGTCTAAAAACCAAATACCCTTACAATGCATATTAAAACCTAATTTCTCTTGTAAGGTCCAAAAAATGTCACTTTATTAATGAATTTTCACCTAATTTCTTTAGACAAAAATACTATCTGCCTTTTTCTCTATGCTTCTCAATTTTGTTCTTTCCATTTTTTTATGAAATAAAAACTGATTGTATTCTATCTTACATTATAGCTTATTGTTTGGGATCTCTTATTAGATTCCCATTACTTGAATTCAATTATTTCAGGGCAACAAGGGCTACACTTTTTGTATTGAAGTTACTATTTTTTTTAGTATCTCCACCATGCCAGGAGCTGTGCCAGGCATTTTATATCCACCATCTCATTTAATTCTTATTTGAGGTATATACCATAATCATTACCATTTCAGTGAAATAATTGTGTTACTTTACAAGAGGTGAAGAAATTGAATCTCAAAGAAGTTGTTTTTATTTATACATCTCACCTGGCTTTGGTCCTTGCTCATAGCATATATTAAATGAGTGATTGTCAAATTGAAACACAGAATTGACACCGATGGCCATTTATATGGAATTTTACTCTCCCAAGGATCATGCTCCCAAAATGATACTAATATCTTGGATTAGATGACTAGACTAAATCTGAACTGCTATTCCAGAAATGAAAGTTCCCTAATGCACTATTAATTTTCTCTGTCAAAGAGAGTATGCATTCTATATTGCTGCAGGCAAATAGGGACTTAACAGATGAGTTATTTGGAAAAACACTGTTTCAGGAAACAAAAGTATGCAAATTATGCCTCTTCTGTACACTTCAAGACACATTTTTAAAGAGGTAAACTTTTTCAAGGTGATGTGCTGACATTCTGAAATAATTTCTTCCCCTAGAGTATGCTGACCACAACACAGGCTTTTAAATAGAAGACCAAATAAGCTAAAATAGTGCTTCATAGCAGTAGTTATTATTCCTACCCAAGATTATTTTTTTCTAAAACTGATCTAGACAAATACATTGTGAGAAAGAGTAGATAATGAGAAATATAAGTGACTCAAATGGGGAAACTGCACAACAAATACATTTCTGCTTGAGAAAGCCACCAGATGCTCTGCTGGGGACTATGTTTTAAATAGAGACCTACACAAGTAAATCATTTCTAATCCAGTTTCCTTTCATAGGTGAGAAAGTTTAGGCCTAGAGAAGTGGAAATAACTGTTCCAAGTCAAAGAGCAGTTAAATTAGAATGCAGCCTGGAACTCAGCCTCTGGCCTGAGCTGCTCCAGCTGCCCCTCTAGTTGCTCCATCTCTGAGTCTCTGTCTCTTGTCTACTTCTTACAAGTTGATATCCACAATTCATGACTTACATATATGACTCCCTAGACATGGCAACCCAGACTTCTGGTGGCAACGTATGCCCTGTTGGCCTGTGCTGTTTATCTCTTGCATGACAATCTCATTTTCCTTGCCAAGATAAAGCCTCCTTCAGGTAGTGGTCCCATTTTACCATCTGTGCTTCCTATATCAGGTTGACCTAATAACTCTTCCCTCCAGGAAGCCCTGACTAGAAAGAATCTTTTAACAGATGCAACAAAACATAAGGAACTTTGGAATCAGAGATCCTGACTGTCAATCCTGCTTCTGTTTGTACTGTCTTCATACCTGTCACAATTTCTTAAGATTCCTGAGCCTCACTTTCTCCATTTTTAAAACAGGAGACATGATGACTACTGGGCATTGTTGTGATGGGGATTCAATGAGATAATGTATCAGTAGTGTTTATCCCATGGAAGATGATCAGCAATTCATAGAGGTTTGCCATTGTTGTCCTTAGGTTTAGGCTAGAAGTTTCCACTAGATTTTCTGAGTTGTCATTGTTCTGTGGATACTATTAGCAGAATATGTCCTTTCCAGAAGACTGGGAAACAATCTATTGGGAATATACTGGTGAGAGGTGACAGCGTGCTGCCAGCCCTCGCAGCTCTCGCTCACTCTCGGCACCACCTCGGCCTCGGCACCCACTCTGGCCGCACCTGAGGAGCCCTTCAGCCAACCGCTGCACTGTGGGAGCCCCTTTCTGGGCTGGCCGAGGCCGCCGGCTCCCTCAGCTTTCAGGGAGGTGTGGAGGGAGAGGCACGGGCGGAAACCAGGGCAGTGCACGGCGCTTGAGGGCCGGCGCGAGTTCCAGGTGGGTGTGGGCTCAGCAGGCAAGCACTCGGAGCAGCCGGTCGGTGGCCCCGCCAGCCCCTGGCAGTGAGGGGCTTAGCACCCAGGCCAGCAGTTGCGGAGGGTGCACCGGGTCCCCCAGCAGTGCCAGCCTGCCAGCACTGCACTCGAATTCTCACAGGGCCTCAGATGCCTCCCGGCGGGGCAGAGCTCAGGACCTGCAGCCCGCCATGCCTAAGCACACCACCCCCCACCACCCCCCACCCCTGCTCCTAGGTGGCCCAAGCCTCCCCCACCAGCCCCACCCCCTGCTCCACGCCCTGGTCCCATCAACCGCCCAAGGGCTGAGGAGTGTGGGCACACTGCATGGGACTGGGAGGCAGCTCCACCTGCGGCCCTGGTGCAGGATCCACTGGGTGAAGCCAACTGGGCTCCTGAGGCTAGTGGGAACTTGGAGAACCTTTATGTCTAGCTAAGGTATTGTAAATACACCAATCAGCACTCTGTATCTAGCTCAAGGTTTGTAAACACACCAATCAGCACCCTGTGTCTAGCTCAGGGTTTGTGGATGCACCAATTTGCACTCTGTATCTAGCTAATCTGGTAGGGACTTGGAGGATATGTCTAGCTAAGGTATTGTGAATACACCAATCAGCACTCTGTGTCTGGCTCAAGGTTTGTAAATGCACCAATCAGTGCTCTGTGTCTAGCTGATCCGGTGGGGACTTAGAGAACCTTTATGTCTAGCTAAGGGATTGTGAATATACCAATCAGCACTCTGTATCTAGCTCAAGGTTTGTAAATGCACCAATCAGCACTCTGTGTCTAGCTCAGGGTTCATAAATACACCAATCAGCACTCTGTATCTAGCTAATCTAGTGGGGACTTGGAGAACTTTTGTGTCTAGCTCAGGGATTGTAAACACACCAATCAGCACCCTGTCAAAACAGACCAATCAGCTCTCTGTAAAACAGACCAATCAGCTCTCTGTAAAATGGACCAATAAGCAGGATGTGGATGGGGCCAAATAAGGGAATAAAAAGCAGGCTGCCGGAGCCAGCAGTGGCAATCCGCTCGGGTCCCCTTCCACAGTGTGGAAGCTTTGTTGTTTTGCTCTTTGCAATAAATCTTGCTGCTTCTCACTCTTTGGGTCCACACTGCCTTTATGAGCTGTAACACTCACTGTGAAGGTCTGCAGCTTTACTCCTGAAGCCAGTGAGACCACGAACCCACCAGGAGGAACGAACAACTCCAGATGCGCTGCCTTAAGAGCTGTAACACTCACTGTGAAGCTCTGCAGCTTCAATCCTGAGCCAGCAAGACCACGAACCCACCAGAAGGAAGAAACTGCGAACATATCCGAACATCAGAAGGAACAAACTCCAGACACGCCACCTTTAAGAACTGTTAACACTCACCGCGAGGGTTCGCGGCTTCATTCTTGAAGTCAGTGAGACCAAGAACCCACCAATTCCAGACACACTGGGACCAATATATTCCTGGCAAATTATCTTTGCACAAGCAAAATGATACAAATAGAAGACTTTGAGAAAAATGGAAAAGCATTCTATACATTGTCCCCACAAAGCCATTCTGTTTTTATTGTTTCCTTTATTCCAGTAGGCTAGGTCAAGCTCATATTCAATGATAAGCTTGAGATAATGCTCAAGTACCTCAACCCCTGTTTTGGAGTTCTCCAGAGAAACAGGACCAATAGAGTGTACAGAGAGGGACAGAGCAGGGAGAGAGATTTATTTTAAGAAATTGGCTCACGTGATTATAGGGTGTGGCAAGTATGAAATTTGTAGAACAGGCCATCTGACTGGAAATTCAGGAAAAAGTTGATGTTTTAGTCTTTAGTCAAAATCTGAAAGCTAGAAATTCAGGCAGGTTTATATGTCATACTCTTGAGGCCGAGTTGCATTTACTTTGGGAAACCTCAGTATTTGCTCTTAAGGCCTTCAATTAACTGAATGAGATCCACCCACATTACTTAAAGTCTTCTGATTTATTAATTTTTTTTCTTTTATTTTGAGACAGGGTCTCACCTTGTGGCCCAGACTAGAGTGCAGTAGTGCAATCATGGCACACTGCAGCCTTGACCTCCTGGGCTCAGGTGATTTTCCCACCTCAGCCTCCTGGGTAGTTGGGACTACACGTGCACGCCACCACAACAAGTGAATATTTTGCTTTTTTTTTTTTTTTTTTTTTTTTTGCAGAGACGGGGTTTTGCCATGTTGCCCAGGCTGGTGCCAAACTCCTGGGTTCAAGTAATTCACCTTCCTTGGCTTCACAAAGTGCTGAAATAATAGGCATGAGCCACCATGCCCGGCCTAAAGTCTACTGATTTAAAAGTTAAGCAAATCTTAAGAAAAATACTTTCACTACAACATCTAGACTGGTGTTTGACAACTACACACCACTGACTAGCCAAGTGCAAGTGGATGCGTAAGTTAACCATCACAACTCCCAACTTACAGTGCCTACTAAATGCAAGCAGGTGGAGTAAAGTGAGTGTCTAAAGACATAAAAAGCATGTCCAAGATTTTAGAAAGGAACTTTGAAGCTAAGTGGAATACACTACCATCCACGCATCACTCAATTTGGAATGGGATATCTATGCTTCCTGCACCACCTTCACTAGTATGGAAGGGATAGAGAAAGTGACAAACTTTTTCCCACTTAATCATGCCAGTGTGGACACTGACTTGTCAAGGGTAACTCAGTTCTTCATCCTTGTTGAGTGCCCTGTGGGGATGACTGGAAGCCAAGGTACTCTGCCAGCTGCATGAGGAACATTTACCACTGAGCATTTCCAGGTTCTTCCTTGATTGTCAGTCAGGAGAAGCAATTCTCCTCCATGTGTGCTATTACTAGGAAAGATAGAGTTAATTGTTGAGTTCCTGGACAAATTATCACAAAACTCAAGTTGGCCAACGGAAAAACATCAACCCCTATGGATGCAAGGAAAAAGATGTTTTGTTGATGCAAAGTTTAGAAAGAACAGTCCACAAAACTGCACTCACTTCTGACAATCAAATGCAAATTCAGGGGCCTCCACAATGACTCTTGGATTTGATAATTAGCTAGAACGATTCATGGAACTCTCTGAAGGCTGTTATGCTCATGGTTGCAGCTTATTACAGCTAAAGAATACAGATTAAAATCAGCCAAGGGAAAAGGCATATAGGACACAGTCCTGGAAATCACAAAACATGGAGCTTCTAGTTGCCCTCTCCCCATGGAATTATGAATAGTGTTACTTTCCCAGCATCAACGCGTGACAATATGCACAGAGCATTTCCAAACAAGGGAGTTCATCCAAGCCTTGGTGTCCAGAGATTTTATTGAGACTCTCTTACACAGGCATGACTGACTGCCCACATGGCTGATTTCAGTCTCCAGCCCTTCCAGAAGTCCAGCAGATATTGCATAACCAAAACCCCTATTCTAAATCACATTGTTATTATCCAGTTGGCCCAAAGCCTGCATGTGACAGAGATACATTTATCAGATAGGATATCCCAAGGATTTAGAGATTACCTCCCATGAGACAAGGGCAAAAGCCAGACTTTCTTTGGGCAAGATTAAATAGTCTTTACAACTCAGCTGGACAGTTGGTTTTGCCTGAGGATGTTCTCCTGTTGTAACTTTATGATAAGGAAATCTATAGCATGGTTATATATGAGATGAGCATTTGTTAAGCAAGCATTTGTTTTGTTCTGGTTCTTCTCTGAAATGCATTTCCAGCATTGTCTCTATTAATCCTCATTGCAGCACTATGAGGTAGGCATTATTTTTAATGGCATTTTATGGATGAGGAACTGAGGCTTGCCTATGGTTACAGAGCTAGTGAGTAATGAAGATGGATTATATACAAGGGCTATATGAGTCCAGAGTCCATGTTCATAGGCACACAGCCTCTTCCATTTGAAATAGATGTCCACAGGCATATGCATAGCCAAAGAAGGCAAGATTGTTGAGTGAAAATTGTCTAGTCCTGCTGTCCTGTTCCATGGTACACGTGACCTCAGAATGTTGCAACATACAACTCTTCTCACTTAAAAATAAATATAAGGCAGAACAACATGAAGACTTACCATGAGCTCATGGTGTCTTGATCAAAGAAGGCTTAGTGACAACAATATTTCAAATGATCTTTTTGTCTGGCATCCTCGAAGTCTGTATACCCTGGGGCACCAAACAATAATAAGGTTCTGAATTAGTGAAAGACATGCCTTTCTTTATAAACAAGATAAGGGCAATTCTGAAAGGGGAGGTAAGAAAGCAGACCTGCTTGGGTCTTCAAACACAAACGTCTTCTCAGAAAGAAAAAGTTACAACAGAAAACACATAGAATGTTCAGAGTCTGAAAATTGTTCCCTTAAAGCTCTCCATGCGAGCATGTTCCCTGGGAATCTTCATGTACCCCAGGATACTTAGTTTGGTAACAACTAGTCTGACTGATCCAATTTCTTAAACCAACTTCTTAAATTTTAGAAAAGCTGCCATGAACCAATGGACCGATAATAATTAATAAATAAACTGGGATAGGAGTCCTGAAAATAGAATGGAAGATATGGAGAATTTAATCTGAAGTCCAAGTGAAGGAGAGAGAGAGAGTGGAATTTTAATTTTTATAATGAATGATGACTGGTAAGATGTGGACCTAGTGGTGCTGTGAGAAACAGGCCCCCCACCAACCTTGGGCAGGGAAAGTGATGTGGTCTAACTTCAGGTAGCACCATGGAGGAGTGGCTCAGCACACAACCCTTCTGAGAATGGCAGGGCAAGATCCCCACTGCTGCTAGTGGTATCCAAAACATGATGTTGGTAATGGTAAGAGAAAATGACAAGGCTACAAAATAGACTCCAGTCAGTGAGCAGCATCAGCCAGTCCTAATCACCAAAAGGTGTACTTTTTTTGTTTGTTTGTTTGTTTGTTTTTGTCACCCAGGCTGGAGTGCAGTGGCACGATCTCAGCTCACTGCAACCTCCGCCTCCCGATTCAAGCGATTCTCCTGCCTCAGCCTCCCGAGTAGCTGGAATCACAGGATGCCATCTTGCCCGGCTAGTTTTTGTATTTTCAGTAGAGATAGGGTTTCGCCATTTTGGCCAGGCTGGTCTCGAACCCCTGACCTCAAGTGATCCACCCGCCTCAGCCTCCCAAAATGCAAGGATTACAGGCTTGAGCCACCGTGTCCAGTCCCAAAAGGTGATCTTAATGGGAAAATGTTTGTGAGTTCCCTTTCTTCTGCCTACGTCTGAGAAAGAAATTCTCGAAAGAAGTAACGAGATCTCAAGCTCCTTTCAGAAAGTCAATTGGTGAGCATGAGCCATGGAATTACCATTTGGATCTAGTCACTTTTATGACCATATTGTCCTCCCCCTCCTCAGATGGGTGACCATGGAAACATCAGTTACAATTGTGATTTTATGGAAATATTAAAAATGGGTGTTTTCCCATTTTACTACCTTTACATTTTGTAAATGGGTAATTTGAAGTTTAACATGTAAAACTACCTGACACAGATAATTTTACCATTTGAAAATAAAAAATATTTTTAAAAACTTAACCAAAACATTGTCAGTGCTTCATCGTCCCTACAACTCTAAAATTACCCCAATATTTTATTCTGAGTGGAGCTAAAAAAGTCATCAAAGTCACATCATTGTAACAAGTTGAAAAGTGAAAACTTTAACCAGTTACATCATCCCTATAAAAACAAACAAAAATATTGTGGGTTGGAGGTGCATTTCCTTTTTTTGGTGTTTGTTTATCCTACTGGATAGAAGTCACTTGGCTATTTGGTTTTGCATAGCTGTTGTCTGTGCCACTTAATATAGGGTAGTGCCTCAAATTTGGGGGCTTGTATGGTCCAGAGGAAGCAGGTACACTCTCTCCTGGCACTGTTGTATGAGATATTAATAACGTTTTAAACTTTTAGTTTAGAAGAGAAAACGTTCTCCCCATTTCCAGAATGGGAAGCTCTCATATCACAAGGAACAGCAGTACCAGCAGGTACAGCTCAGATAAGGTGGAAAATAAAACCAAAAAGAAAGTGGATTCCCAGCATTTTCTTCAAAGGGAGGGGTGTGTGTTCAGCTTCCTTTTTATTGGCACTTACAATTACCCCTGGACCAAAGCATGTCTATATATTCACAGATGGAGGGGTAAGTCTGGGTAGGGTGAGAGCCTAGGCTTTGAGGTAATGGATAAAGGCATTTGGGGAAGAGGAGGATGAGAGACTGTTTCAGCTTTTAGATGAAATGAAAAAAATCTGCCTTTGTTTCCAACTCCCTGGCCTCCTTTTGCCATGACCTGACATAAATAGAAGATTGAACTTGAAAAATAAATAAATAAATATAAGAAAGCAAGATGGTTTTGTTTTCTGCAAATGCCTTGAACAAAGCACGTGTTTCTGTTTAATACTGGATAAGCTCCAACTGATGTCTAGATCCTTGTCAAAATATTTACTTTACTGTGAGATATATTTTTTTTAAGTGGGGTATTATGAAGCCATGCTACAGCTCTGGACTTTAAAGTGACTGCCAGCCTCCTCTGAAAAGCCATTGTTTTACCCTCTTCCCCAGACCCCTGCAAATTAAATCTTAATTTAAAAACATTATTTTGTTCCTGAAAGTGATCAATCTCAGTACAAAACCAGTAGAAAACTTGATGAAGAATTGAAGGAAATTCACCAAGGCAACTACTAAGATGACAAACACTGAAAAATGATTTTTTTTTCCCATTGGGATATTTAGTACAACATCCTGATATCATGTAAACAGCAAAAACAAAAAATAACCTGTTGTATTTTAAAGCAATTCTGAACTACTGATTTGAGATCACAAAACCACTATAGAAGGAAGCTCAAAAATAAAAAATGTTACTTTATATTTCCTTGGTCATTTTATTAAACTCTATAGACCTGAATAAGGTAAAATACATATGCCATGAATTATAAATATGTCAACATAATAAATGAACCTGAACTGTTTTATCTTACATCTTTCCTAGAAAATTTAACCACATAAAAGTCACATACTATGATGCAAGAGACTACAGGACAAATATAGAAGCAGAAAAATGTGTCTGGAGATAACATCTATTTTAACTAAAAGATAAAAGAATTTTGTAAAAATAAACTAAAATTAAAGCCTTTGATACTCACTATAAAAAGGATTTGATTTCTCCCTTTTCCATTTTTATAATCCTGTAGATTATTTCTGTCCACCTTCTGGGTAAAATACTCACCCATTTTCCAATGGAGTTCTGGGTCCTGTTTCTTCCGCTAGCATCTTCTGACTTTAGGTTCGTCAGCTCGTTTGCTGCTCAACAAGTCACCTGAAATGTAGTGACTCAGAACAGCAATCGTGATTCTGCGGTGGTATGGCGGGTTCTAGCCACTTTGCTGGCTTCCTGGGGTGGATGGTCTCAGATGATCTCATCCATATTCTGAGGCCTCGGCTAGGCTTCCACAAGGCCAGCCCAGGCTCGTTCGCTTGTGGCGGAATGATTCCTGTCAGAAAGAAATGGCATGCGCAATGCGCAAGCACTCGTCAGGCCTGTGTTTGCACCTCATTTGCTATTATCCCATTGGCCAGAAACAATCATACGACTAAGCTCAACAGTGGTGGGGGTGCAGGGAAAGACTGACTACTTAAAAGGAATAGATATAGACAGTGGGAAGTGAAAACAATGTGGGGGATATTATCCTAATGATCCACCGCTGGAGGCTAGTCAATTAACCCAAGACTCCATCTCTTTTTTTTTTTTTTTTTTTTTTTTTGAGATAGAGTTTCGTTCTTGTTGCCCAGGCTGGAGTGCAATGGCGTGATCTCGGCTTACTGCAATCTCTGCCCCCCTGGTTCAAGAGATGCTCCTGTCTCAACCTCTGGAGTAGCTGGGATTACAGGCACCCGCCACCATACCTGGCTAATTTTTGTACTTTTAGTAGAGATGGGGTTTCACCATGTTGGCCAGGCTGGTCTCGAACTACAGACCTCAGGTGATCCACCCACCTTGGCCTCACAAAGTTCTGGGATTACAGGCGTGAGCCACCGTGCCCAGCCAAGACTCAATTTCTTAATCTCTAAATTTGAAATAATAATTCATTTCTATTGCTAAAAAAATTGTTTGGACAATTAAATAAGAAAATACAAATAGAAACATTTGAAAAATGTAGAGAACTCTATAATTGTACAAAGTTATTATTAGGACAGAAAACTAACCACGTTATTCTATACGGCATTTTTTTTCTCTAGGCATGGTTTTAAGTTTTTACATAATATCTACCAACCAATTGGAAACAAATGGACCTCAACAATTTAACATTTTTATGTATTTTAAAGGCCAAATCATACTTGTTTTACCTGAATATTTAGTGTTTCAGCCAGTCATTTGAGTCATATTCGTCGACTTAGCAGAAAAACCTGATATTGTCTAATTTAACCTTTATAGAACCAAGACTTTATCTACACAGTGTTACGATATCTGGGCGATTTAACAAAACTGTTTTTTCTGAGGCAGCCGGATGTTTCATCTAACACTGAAGATTATGAATCTCTACTGACCAACTGAACGGTGTTTTATTTTATTTTTATGAGATGGTGCAACTGCCTGCCTTATAATATCCTTGCTAATTCTAGAATATGCACTGAGATTAAGATGTCTTTTGCTGAGAAAAGTGACTTTTTCCTGCCACACCCAATGTATCTCCTCTACATTAAATTTTCTCTAGCAAAATAAATGAGTTCTACTTACAAGAAACCAAGGAGAATAAAGATTTAAAACAACATTTTGAGTTACAGTTGCCATGGGAACATTTTTTCTTTCTTTCTATTTTAATCTTTGGGGCATGTGAAATGAGAGCTTACTGGTGTAGTATAGTGGTATTCTATTATCATAGTTACCTGAAATTAACAAGAGAGGAGCCTGAAAAATCAATGTTTGATTAGTTGCAACAAGAGTTTAGAACTCACAATCATGTTCATAATTTGGTTCCAAAGTTCAAGATAGCAATAAGGATTTTGGCTTGGTTTTCATATTTTGGGTTATAAAAACACTTTTAAAAATTGTACTTATCAAAATGCAGCCAAATTTTAATTTTTTATTATCCACAATCCTCAGAAAATAGAAGTTCTATAGCAAAATGTGTACCCTGGGCTTTAATATTCTGCATGTCTGTAAAACATACATGTATATTAGAGGTATACATCTCCAGTGACTATTCATTAAGGGGCAAATAGTTATCACCTTATCACCAACAGTTTATCCAGTGCATAGAATTCATTTATCCCTCAATTTTCTAATCCTTCTTATTCTCCTTTCTTCTTTTTCTCCATTTCCTTCTTTACATACTTCTTTTTTATCTTTTCTTTCCATTTGATTTCCCAATTGTAACACTGGCAGTCACAGGATTTCTTAGCAAATTTGGTAGAATTATTGCAAATTTGTGTTATGTTCTATGATGAATACTTTCAGATAGAAATTAGAATTACTAGAAGAAACGTTGAAAATGGTGGAAAAAAATAAAAGAAAAAATCTTGCATTTATCTGAAGGTAATATAGCTCTTTATTTGCAACTTTCTACCTTGGCTGAAAGTTTTAGCTATGTATTTGCTAGGCCTCACTCATGGATATGATGCTTAATATTTAAGAAATATAAGCACCCTTATGTTAGATATTTGTAAAATAACTTTAGTACATATGAATTATAATAAAGGGTAGTTACAGCACAAGTAAAAGTATTAATATCATCACAACTCTTTAATTTGTTGATGTTAACAGCATCTAATAGACTGTGTTTAAATTGTTTGAATCACTATAAAATTTAAAGTTCTGGCAACAATCAAATTTGAAGGGGAAAAAAAGATTTACTTATGTCCAACATAACTTTTGGCTTAAGTATAGTTCTTGGCGTTCTAATTCTTTGAAAATGAACAATATTATCATTAATCAATAATTCATTCACAGCTATGTCATAAACTGAGGAGTATAATTTTTCTGGTTTAACTTTTTGATCTCACACAGTAAAATTAGATTACACCAATTATGTCATCAAAGGCAATGGTCATTATATTTTTAAAAAACCTAATCATAGTCTGCCCCTAATCCAAATGCTCAGCTCCATCCTCCATATCCAGCCACTTCTAAGCAACCCATTTATGAGCCACAAGGAACTTGGGCTCCATTGTCAGACCTGCCGTGGTGTCCCTGCTCTGGGCATGACTGTAGAAAACCCTACTCTGGCCATCTTCCCTGGGACCAAGGAGACATTCCCCCACAGAGCCCAGGCCTTCACCTTTCTAGACCCAGAACTCTGAAACCCCGAAGCCCTGGAATTCCCTTCCTCAAGTATCCTAAGCCCTCTTCAAGGGCAGAGTGCCTATCCCTGGAGCAGATGGACGGTGAGGTGTTCATCCCCAGGCTTGTTGTGCCCACTCTTCTGCCCAGAGGCCACTCTAAATAGAGACAAAGCTGTAAGGAGAAAGAGGAAGGTGCTGGACATAGTCAGGGCCTCCATGAGTGCTTTTGCTCAGCCTCCACATAGATGATGGAATGCACCTGTGTATCATTTTCCCAAACCCACAGTGCTCTTCTGAGTTTAAATGTCTTTGCACCTGCTTTTCTCCAAGCCTGAAATTCCATTCCCCCTCACTCCTGGTGATGTCCTCCAGATCCAATTCCACTTCCTTTTCAAAAATCCCCATGACTTCTCTAGACAGATTAGCTGTTCTCTCCTTTGGTTTACTAGCATGTTTTACCATCATTTACTATAGAACTTAACATACCTGACTATAATTATTTATTTACATATTTGCCTCCTCATGAGAAATTTGAGGCCAGCAAGACTTAACTTCAATGAGTGACCCTTTATTAATATTTAATAAATGTGTATTGAATTAAATGCACTAAATGCATAATTTATTTATAAATTGGTTATCAAGCTCATTTGTCATGCTAAAATTCTTTAGGCTAGGTCTTAGGTTAATATCATGTTTTTATTAATGTAAAGGAATAGAATCGTAAATTTAAAATCAGTTTAAAATATTTTCCAAACGTGACTGATTCCAAAAATTCCATCTAAAAAGACAGATATTTGACATATAACATAATCCTTGATAAAAACCAATAGTTATATGTTGTATGGCTTTAAATGAAGAGGGATGTCCACAACTAAAAACATGACCAAGAAAATATGTCATATTTATATATTAGATGTATCCATTAAGTCAGACGTTACTAAGTACGTAAAGCCAAAACTCTAGCCAGTCCCATCCCAGAGTAATTCAAATTAATGTATTTATTGTAGCTTGCTCCTTTGCAATGCAGAGAAATGGGAAAGAAAATCAGAGGAATTTCATGATCCTTGTTATTTAAAACACCTAAGTATATACCTAAATTATGCAGCATAACAGAAAAAAATGTAAAAAAAGAATGAAATGTAAATGTAAAAAAAAAGCCTCCCTTTGTTGCTCAAAATTCTAACAAATACACAATAGCCTGAATTTTGTAATATTTTATAGGTGCTAAGCACTCTTCCAGGCAGTTTACATGTGGTAAATTGTTTAATCCCCACAGAATATTGTAGGTGGAAACCGAGAATCAGAATAGTTAAGAACCTTGACCAAGGTCACACAGTTAGCCTGGGAGTAGAACTATGACAGTCTGGGAGGTAGAAAAATCAAAAGCTGGAAGTCACTGAAATATATATGATAACTGGGGTTATGGGGGGAAATTATGGGTGGAGAGCACCTGGTCAGTTAGAAGAGAAAAGAATGAATCCCAGGGAGACCAGCATTGAAGGGATTGGACAAACAGAGGTGCCCATGTAGGAAATGGCGCAGGTGACACCAAAAAAGTTGAAGAAGAAACAAGAGAAGAACCGATGTTCCAGAAACCAAAAGAGGTAAGGATTTCATTAGAGGAGCTCAATAGTGTCTATCAGGCCTTATAAACACACCATACAAGTTGGCACAGAGAGGTTCCTATTTGTATTTAGAAAGTTTTTATCAGACAGTTTAGACACAAATTGAAGCCAGATTTGGTGAGCTGGTGAATGAATGGAAGGTGATGATGTAGGACTCAGAGAAAGATGAGTCTTTCAGAGGGTGTCAAAAAGAAAGAGAGACACAAGGGGGAAGCTTGGGAGATAGGGAAGGTTCCAAAGTTGTTCCAACTTCTTAAAAAAGGAAAATGGTCAGATAAAACAATTTTAAATAAGCCAGTTTTGTCAAGCCATTGGCTTCCTACATTTTCATACAGCAGACCTAGGGTGCTGGAGATCCTTGATACTCAATGTTTGGTCAGCAGCATCAGCATCTCCTGCAAGCCAGTAAAAAATACAGAAGCTCAAACCCCACTCCACCCAGAATCTGTGTTTTAACAGAAACTCTTGGTGACTCAAATGCATTTTAAAGTTTAAAAAGTACTGATCTAAATTCCACTAGAGATAACCCAAAGGAAAAACTTATCTACTAAAATGTAGTTTAAAGTTGTTCTAATTTGCTTTGTAGACACACCAAAGACACATCTAGTTTATTTGTAAATATCAGCATTGTTCTTTCCCAAAGCCAGTAATTAACTAGTTTCAAATTATACTTTCTATTTCAAGTAATGAACATTTTACTCTTGAATTAGAATACTATCACATCAACAGATTCTATAGGTTCACCTGGGTATGGCACCCCCTACAGACTGCAGTGTTCTATAGCCTTCTATCATTTAATGCAATATTCTATTTCCAAAGGTAAGTGTTTTATGAACGTCACTCAATGCTGGTGCTTACTTTCCTCAAACCTGCCCCTGTATATGTCACAGACACATTGCAGGAGAGTAAATAAAAGGATTTGGGGGCTTCATTTTATACGGTATGTAGCAGTAGCAATGATAGCAGAAAATGGGAAATAACCTAAGGGCCCGAGAAAGATTTCAACAAGAGAAGACACACACACACACAGAGGCAGTCTTTGTTTGCATGATTCTAACATATACAAATTGAACTTACCATGATTTATTTAAACAACATCAGTCTCCAACAGTATGATTCAAATTTCAATGACTACAATGTATTAACTGGGAGTAATACTTGAAGGTCAAACGTCACAGCTAGCTCTTCAGTCAACAAATCACTACGTTAAGAATTTATGGGCATCTTTCAAAGTCTTTTGGTGATTGGTTGTTGTCCTTATGTTATTCACTGCATGCACAGACAGAAAAGCATGTAATTATGTCTCCCCATTGTCTTCCATTGATAATCCCACATGACATTTTACAAAATAGATAACCAAAAGAGAGAATTGGCCAACAAAGATGAAATTACAGCAAATAAAAGAAAGTGTTGACACTGGACATGAAATTAGAACATTTCATAAATAGCTGACCATGGGAATGTGGATCTTTTCACCATTCCAGAGACTCTAGACATGTATCCATAAACACTTAGTGAAAGAGAACTTACCAACATAAATGAGGAAAGTGACTGTGATGAAAAGAAAGATGTCCCAGAGGAAGAGATGTCAGAAAAAAATTCACATTAAAAAAACTCTTGGGGAAAATTTGTGACATTGCATGCACAAAGGATAAAACGTTGGAAGCTGATCTAAACTTAAAGAGGATTATGACAATTCACCAAGGCATAGAAAAGATGTTAGCTCCATATCATTAAGTTATATAGAAAGAAGGCAACCATGGTTCCAACTACCCTTGATAAGCTTTTACAAATAAATAAAACACTTTAATTCTCAATATTTCTGTTTTAAAAAATAATATGCTAAATAAGTACCTTTACAGATTTTTAATTACCTTACACATTTAAGACTGAAATAATTTTTTTTAATGTTTTGACAAAAATTTTAAAGGTCATGAAAGAATACTAATTTTTCCCATGGATAATTAACATTGCTTTGTGCAATTTCAGTTTGAAAGGTCATTGTTACAATCCCACACTTCTGCAAAGCAATGATTGTTTAGATAAATACATAGATAATAGGTAGGTAGGTAGATAGATGGAGAGATAGATGATAGACAGACAGATAGATAGATAGATAGATAGGGCATATACCCAAAGAAATATAAATTATTCTATTATAAAGACACATGCACATATATGTTCTTGGCAGCACTATTCACAATAGCAAAGAGATGGAATCAACCTAAATGTCCATCAGTGATAGGCTGGATAGAAGGAAATGTGATACATAAATGCTATGGAATACTATGCAGCCATAAAAAAGAACAAGATCATGTCCTTTGCAAGGACATTGATGGAGCTGGAGGCCACTACCCTTAGCAAACTAACACAGGAACAGAAAACCAAATACCACATGTTATTACTCATAAGTGGAGGCTAAATGATGAGAATACATGGACACATAGAGGAGAACGACATACAACGGGGCCTATCAGAGGGTGGCGAGTAGGAAGAAGGAGAGGATCAGGAAAAATAACAAATGAGTACTAGGCTTAATACCTGGGAGATGAAATAATCTGTATAACAAACTCTCATGACACAAGTCTACCTATGTAACAAACCTGCACATATACCCCTGAATTTAAAATAAAACTTAAAAGATAGATAGGAGAGAGGGATGGAGGGAAGAAAAAGGTTAAAACTGAATCTAGATACAGTGGTAACTTTGCACCACTGTCTTTTTTTGTGTGTGCTCCCAAGTGCCAAAGTCAATAAGGGACTTCATAATTCACTGAGGATGTATGTATTTACAGTGGATATCCAATTACCATATTTACAATCATAAAACATGCACACTTTGGGTATGGGTCATCTGGAAATTTATCTTTAACTTGATTGTTGATTTACAAGAGACAATTTCATGAGAGTTCTGCCAACAACTCCATATATATAACAATAAGGGATGCTCCTTTGCAAGTGTACTTTACTCCATATAATACATGAAATCGTAATTTTATATAAACTCTATTCTTCTCTATTATATAATATTTAAATGTTCAAAGGAAAATTCTAGAAACAAAGAGTATCACTATTGCTTCTATAAAATAAAAAACTCTACATAAATTTATATGTAGGTTTTTATATATAAGATTATACATATAAATATATATAATCAATTTCATTTAAATTTCCCATGAATCTATAACTTTTTATAAGAATGAGTAAAAATGAGGTTGTCTTACTGAGCTGTTCTTAGTTTGTAAAACAGAGTTTCCATGACTAAGAAAATGAAAATAATATTCATTGGTTCTTAGAGATTATCAAATTACAGTGTGAAAACCAATTCATTTAAAAAGGTAGAAAACACATATATACTGAAGATGAAAGAATGTAATTAGTTTAACAATTTACAAAACGATCCCTCGACCATTAGTTACTTTTCCATAAAAATTTCACATTTATTTTGCACGGTTTCTCAACTACCGAGAAACTGTCTGTGGTGGTTTCTCAACGACTTCTATCATAAGATAGAGTTGCTACCGGAAAGCCTCACATCTGGATGGGCTGTAAAACTTGTTGTCACCAATAGATTACAAGGAAATGATTTTATCACTTTCAGGCCAAGATAGTTAAGAAGCCAGTGCCCTTTCTTTTCCCTTCCAGCAGCTGGTAGCAGAACTCCAGGGAGTTAGGACATAGCAGAATCACAGGATGGAAGGAGTCTGGACCTTCACCACAAGGAGAAAAGCTACCTGAGAACAGGAAACATCTACATTAGAAGGTTAATGAATGAGCAATGCTCATCAGAACTGAAATGTTGGCTTTTGCTTGTCACTGTGCCTCATAGTACCCTATGTAAGAATGCTGTTTTCTAGGCAACATGATCACATAATTTCAAATCCAATCCTGCCCAATAGAACTTTCTGCGGTGATGGAAACATTTCTGACAATCCAACATGGCAGCCATGAACCACACAGGACTATGGAAAGAATTAAATTTTTATTTATTTAATTTTAATTAATTTATACTTAAATTTAAATATCTGCATGTGACTACCATAATGAGAAGCTCAGTTCTCACCTTTGGTAATAACTTTCCAACTTTCAACAGTATAGAGAAAATCCAAGGCATTTTTCAGCATAACTTCCTACTTTCCTGTAGCCTGTGGTGCTAAGTCTTGAACAGTTTCACAGAAGTAGGGGTGAATTTTGGTGAATTAAATTTGTTTTTCCAAAATTAAAGAAGATGGCTAACAATGATCTACATCTATTATCTCTAAAACATATATTATGTTTTCTTCAGAAGCATATTTAAAGGTAACTTTTGTGGTTGATTACCAGCGGGCATAGGGCAGGGGGTTCATCAGGAGAGTCTAGAGCAGGGGTGTCCAATCTTTTGGCTTCCCTGGGCCACACTGGAAGAAGAATTGTCTTGGGCCACACATAACATACACTAGCACTAACAATAACTAATTAGCTAAAAAGTAATACTCACAAATAAATCTTATATAATGTTTTAACAAAGTTTATGAATTTGTGTTGAGCCACATTCAAAGCCATCCTTGGCCGCATGCAGCCTGTGGGCAGGTTGAATAAGCTAGGAGACTCTAGAGAACTATATCTTTTGCTACCCGGGGCCAACTGCTGCCCATTGGGTAAATATTACAATCTATATACTCTCTTCCTCTTCCCTCATCTTGTCAGTAAAATTTCTCAAGCCATCAAATTGTCCAGAGCTACATGGGCATAGATTCTTATATCAATAAATATAGGTAGAATGTGAATATGAATCACCACAGTGACCCATATGGCCAAAGTCTCTCTCTGATTTCTATGGTATTTCTATAACCAGTACCCTAGGAATACCTATATAATCCTGAAGTATAAACCTGAGGTTCCTTCCCTTCTCACAAACTCCTCACAGTGAACACACTGCGGGGAGTGGTGGTGTTCATGCAATTCGCTCTTCATTCTTCCTCACTGTTGGCTTGACCACTATCTTGCCTCACTCTCTTCTTTGCCCCAAGGTTCAGTGCAATTGAGAGCGTCATTGTGTCCTAGCCTGAGTCCTAGGACTTGAAACAGTTTCAGTATTCTGGCAAAGCCTGGTACCATAGAGTAAAGCAAATCAGATTTCTCTAGAGACATGATCATAAAGTAACAGTAACAGAATCTGAATCAACAGAGTAACATAATAGGCAAATCCTGTTGTTGTTGTTGTTGTTGTTGTTGTTGTTGTTGTTGTTGTTGTTGTTGTTTTTGAGATGGAGTCTTGCTCAGTTGCCCAGGCTGGAGTGCAGTGACGCCATCTCTGCTCACTGCAAGCTCTGCCTCCCAGGTTCACGCCATTCTCCTGCCTCAGCCTCCCAGGTAGCTGGGACTACACGTGCCCGCCACTACGCGCGGCTAATTTTTTGTATTTTTAGTAGAGACGGGGTTTCACCGCGTTAGCCAGGATGGTCTCGATCTCCTGACCTCGTGATCCACCCACCTGGGCCTCCCAAAGTGCTGGGATTACAGGCATGAGCCACCGCGCCCGGCCCTGTTGTTTTCAATGCTTCAAATTTCTTACTGCTTTTCTTCTCGGTAATTTCATTGGATGTGGAAAAACAATTTAAGAAATTAGTATTTATCACTGTTTATAAAAATAAGAACAAACAAATCTAAAATAATACTGTCCAAAAAGGGAAAAAACAGATGAGACCCTTGTCAATTTTTAATTGGCAATGCAAAGAGTGTCACACTAATAAAACTGAATTAAATCATTAAATATTTAAAATGATTTTCTAACTGTAGTTTCTTGAATGAATACCCTTTTATATATTCGAAACTCTATTATGAAGTCTACATGTAAAGCAACATCAAATGTTAAACCAAACAATTTGATGTATTCATCTCAGTCAAAAAGCCCAGTTCATTTGTCCCGTAGAAATCTAAATCACCTCAGAACATGTCACAATGTATATTTCCCTCACATCAGGAAACATATAATAAAATACCATTACAAATACATCACCCACAAAGTAGTCCTACCTTATAAAATATAACTCATTCATTTTACATGTTTCATTTCATTTCAGTAATAATGTAAAATAGCATTGCCCAATTTACGATGAATGTCAAATTTCTGGTAGAAGACGTAACAGATATTTACTAACTTCATTTTTTGTATCACTCAAACAACCAACTATATACATAAATATATGTCTTCAGCCTTCTTCAAACAAATATTTCTTATGGCAAGGAAAAGCTATTTTCCTGTATAGCAAAGGCAGAATTAGACACACAATTACTTCCTTTACTAAAAGATACAATATATCAGTCTGTTGTTATACAGATTTGAATTTATCTTTTGGGTAATACATCTCCTCTTAAATAACACTACATATATTAACTTAATGGTATTGAGCTACCAAAGCAATAGTACCAATAAATAAAGACATACAAAAAACACAAGTATTCTCCTGGGTTGTTTTACCCTGCCCAAATCAAAGGGGAAGCTCATCTGTTTGCAGCTACGCTAAAAATCACATTAGGCAGCTTTAACAGGAAGCAGGAATCATAGCTCTTGATGAACCTGTAATTTTGATAAGTATGGAGATCTTTCTCTCTTGAAAATGCTTCAAACTCTTTAGTCTGGAAACAGACACGCGAGAACTTGCAAAGCACTCTACCTCGCCTCTCTCTGACCTGTCTAGTGTTCCTGTCTCACCATATAGTTCATTGCCCAAATCACAAACTCTACTAATTTTTTTTCTTCCTTTCCCTTACAATCATCCAAATCTGGCAATTCTACCAACACATCTTTTGTATCTATCCACATCATGAGCTGCCATGCCTGGACTTCGCAAGAGCCCCCTGTCTTCTCTCCCTTGGTTTGCCTTTCTTTAGGTTGCATTACACTTTCAGACTACGTCAGAGCTTGTTTTAAACCTGTCTTTTCTCAATCTTCTCAATACCCAATACTCTTTTGAGCTCTCATAAAGGAAAAGCAATGAAGATCTCTGAAAGAAGGAAGATTATCCAAGCAGACAAAATCCTGCTTCAGTGAAACACTCTTATAAATGTACACTTAAAGCAGCTGCTTCACCTTTAAAATGAATAACTGACATGCAAGAAAAACTATACATCACCTTTAAAATGAATAATTGACATGCAAGAGGAACTATACACAGTTTTCTTCTTTTTTATTTTAGCAGAAACAGTAGTTACACCTAAGGCAATGATAGTTGAGATGTCCGGTTTTTAACAGAAAAACTCATAGTCTGTAACTATGTTAGTCTGTGCTTTTCTAGGGGAAAAAAACGTTGCTTTCATATTCCTCCTAAAAATTTTCCTCACTTCCAACCTCCTTAAAAGTTTACCATTCTTTAAGAAAATAACTCAAAGTCATCAACATGTCACATCAGTCCCTTCTCAATCTAACCCTAAATTATTTTATACACCCCAACCACATACCCCATGCTCCAGGCAAAATGGGCTAAAAGGAACTTTGAACTTTCAGCGGCTCTCTGGACAAAGCTTACTCACCCATCTCCATGTTTTTGACATGCCATTCCTATACTTCTAAAACTGCTCAGTTATGCAGGCATTTCTTGGACTTTGCTTCCAGAAAATAAGGACATATGTTTAAAACCCTAGAATTATATTTTACAACCAAACAGACCTACCAAATAAAGAAGCATTTTCAGATAGAGAAACGGGTTAAAAGGGAAGGTTATAAAATAATGAAAAATTCAAGTGCACTATTTCAAAATTGTAAGGGGATTTTTAATCCTCCAATTTTATAACTGAAAATATTGATTTTAAATGTACATTATTGTCTCTTGCCTTTTAGACATCTACACTGAATTTTAGAAAGAAACAACATGCCAAGCACAGTGGTTCTCACCTGTTATCCCAGCACTTTAGGAGGCAGAAGTGGGAGGATCACTTGAGGCCAAGAGCTCACACTCAGCATGGAAAACGTAGTGAGAACTCCGTCTCTATAAAAAAAATTAAAAATTAGCTGAGTATCATGGTGCATGTCTGTAGTCCAACCTACTCTGGCGGCTAAGATGGAAGGATCATTTGAGGCCAAGAATCTGAGGTTACAGTGAGCTATGATCACACTACTGCACTCCAGCTTGGGCAACAGAGTGAGACACTATCTCTAAAAAAGAGAAAAAGAGAAACAACGACATTGGTATTTACTGTAAATAACATCTTAGGTGGTGTTGTGCGTGTGTTTTCTTTTTTAACTTATCCTTTTTCTTTCTCTAGGAAGAAATTTTACTGCAATAAAGAAAAAGGAATAGATGATATTCTGTCATTGTATAAGTTTATTGTCCAAGAATAACCCCTCAACAAGTAACCATTATAAGTGTATTGTTCAAGAATATTATTTTCATAAAATATATTTTCTAAATACATACAAATAGCAGATTTTTCTAAAAAACTATCTGTATTCTCTTCTCCGATCTTTTAATCCAATAAATTGGAGCAAACTACTAAAAGACTTTCCAGAAATATGTTTTTCAATGAAAACTTTTTTTGAAATTTATTTTTTTTTGAGACAGCCTCACCCTGTCACCCAGGCTGGAGTGCAGTGGTACCACCTCAGCTCACTGCAACCTCCACCTCCTGGGTTCCAGAGATTCTCCTGCCTCAGCCTCCCGAGTAGGATTACAGGCATGCGCCACCATGACCGGCTAATTTTTGTATTTTTAGTAGAGATGGGGTTTCACCATGTTGGCCAGGCTGGTCTTGAACACCTGACGTCAAGTTGTCTGCCTGCCTCAGCCTCCCAAAGTGCTGGAATTATAGGCATGAGCCACCATGCCAGGCCAAAATTTCTTGGTATTATAACATGGAAGATGAGGCTTTAGTTGTTCTAGTCATAGGTGGCATTCTGTATGTTTTAGTGACTGGCTGGCTATCAATACAGCCTATCTTTCCAGGGAAAACACTTTTATACCAATATTGGGGGCGGGGAGAATGTTTGAATGGCTTATTGAAGAATAATGCTTAAAAAATTAAGTACCTAAAAGGAAGCATACTAAAAATGATACACATTGCTTTTTATATGCATTATTCCACATTCCATAAAACAAAATTAGGAACCTGAATCAGTGATAAAATTATTTTTGTAATTCAATTCTCTTAAAAATAATTAATTTCGGTGAAAACTGTGAAACTTTGCTTCCTGCTTCTCAGACTCTATGTGTATATGTTATATCATGTTGAACTAAAGAGAATATCCAACTAGGAGTCAGATGTATCAGGCTTCTAGTTCATGTTACCCTGCTCAACTTTAACTAAGATATTTAAACCTCTCTGTGTCCTAGTATCTTCAAATATAAAGTTAAGATTTTTAATCTATCTTATCATATTTTTCTCTGTCTCAGCATATTACATTTAATTATGCATGTATATTTTCTCACATTAAATAATAAACTCCTGAGAGTTACGGCTATGTCTGAATTATCTTTGTCTTCCCCATAGGACATAGGATAGTTTTTAACACTGGTAATATATCACAAATAGTAGAGAATTGAACGTTTTACTTTAGAATTATAATTCCCCAAAATGTGAACCAGAAAAGAGTTGTAAGATCCAAAAAATTTTGTGAAACACTGAGTTAAATAAACATAATTGAATTTCTTTACTGCAGAAGTTATCAGAAGCTTAATATGTGTATATACCCTGTGACTATCTCACAGGAAACTACAGCCAATGGTAGAATCTCCCTTAACCAAGTGATCAGCACCAGTAGTGTCTTTCTTTATTGAAAAAGTTTATCAGAGGCAATAATTATAACCAACGAATGTTAAAAAAAAAAAAAAAAGCTTCACTTTCACTTTCTAGGTGGCCATGGTCTCTACTTTGAGTAGGTTCTGTGAGTGGAGTTTCCAGCACAGCCCTCCCTTTTGTGTGAGTGTATAAAAGTCACACATACTATACATCATCTATGATTTCTAGATTTGGGTTCTTTTAATTAAAATAATATAAAAACAATGGAAACTAAATCTGAGTACAGACTCTTACGATTTGATTTTTAAAAATTGTTTATAGTTGATAGGTGATTCCTAATTTGATAGTAATGTTTCTTGACTCAAGGGTCTTGCTAAAGTTCAATTTTAGTTTTTATTTATATAGTTCTTTTCACACACTCATATGTCACTGATTTACACAGTATTTCATTACAGTATATAATTACAGTAACAAGCACCATGGGCATAATCCAGGATGAAGACAAACAAAACTGCCTTCTTAGCATCAACTCACCTGAAGGGAGCTATGACAGATGAGCTACAGAATGGCCCCCATTGGTGACTGCTCACTGAGCAGAGGGCATCAGTACATACTCGAAAGAAGGGAACAAAGAGCATCTCTACAGCTGGAGAGTTAACTGGGGAATCACTTGCAAGAATGTTCACTGTGTGCTACTATTCTGCAAAATACGTTGTGAAGGAGCTTGATCTGAGAGGTCAGAAAGCCTCTTTCAAATCTAAAATCATCTCTGATCATTAAGAAGATCGACTATGAAGTTTTTTCTCATTGTATGTCCTATTTTCCCAAGAAGACTACAGAGCCTGTTAGGGTAGAAAATAATGTTTATTATTTCTATCTTATGAGGTGAATAACATAATGCTGTATCAAGAAAAAGTATTCACAATATCTATGTTAACATTTAAGTTTGAATAAATTTATTCATACATTACAGTATGAGTGATGCTAAAAGTATCTTCAATATGAGATGATCCTGGTCATAGCCTGTTATTTTTTCACTGTCTAGTTGAGTCATTCAAAGGCTGGCCTCAGTTATCCCAAATTCATGTTGTCTTTTACCAATTAAGGTAGTAATATACTATGAGAAAGTTCAAGGCACTGTTTGTTTACAAAAGCATTTAGATAGGAATGAATGACCTACTGATAAAGCATCCATTTTGGGTTCAAAATACATTTGCAACTCATGAGGCATTTACAGAGCTATGGCAGAAAGTATGCTGTCTAATTAGGGTCTATCTAATGATCAAGAATCTAGTGGTGACTTTTCTTGCCACTCCATCCAAGATTTTTAGATCTTCCATTTGTAATGGTGATAGTAAGCAATAAGGAGTTGTCCAAGACATAGCAGCTTGCAGACCCCTCATTTCTAAATCCACAGGAGAGTACAGCGAGATAAACAGTCTATGGCAGCTGTTATAAAAGATGAGAAACAAATGACTTTATTGCTCCAATTACTCTTCTACCCTGTCAATTTGCACATACACCTTGTGTACACCTTGTTCTTCTCTCTCCTGATGGTCGAATTTGCACAAGTAGAAGATCTAGTTCAAAAACAAAGCTGTCTACTGCAGACAGCATTTATCTGATTATTATTATAAGTAAATTCATTTTTCTACCAAACAAACCAAGAATGTCAAGAATCTTCCTGTAACAAATACCCACTTAGAATTTGTTCCAGACAATTTAGGTGCATAACTTAGGACTTTCACTTTGCTTCACCAAAAAAAAAAATTTCATATTTTGAGAAATTAGTTGTGAAATGAACCAAGGGCCTCTGTAAAGAGTATCACATGAAGCATTTCTCTTTATTTGAAAATAAATAGTAAATCTTGAGTTCTTAGTGAAAATGTCACTTCCAGGGGTTTTTTCCCCCTTAAAGAATGTTCATTTTAGTTCTAAAATTGCAAAAGACATAAATCAGTAAAATAAATAAATGTTTCAAAGATATTTTGCTTTATAGCACCTCAAGATAAAAGTCACGTATTCCTTTGCTAATACTCAAAGCCAAGTTCATCTTTCAGGTGAACTGCAACAGAGAATTTTCTTCTGCATTCATGAGTCATTTGAACCATTGTCGTAGTTTCCCAAATGCCACCTAAGTAATGTTAATCACAGGAGTCAGGGAGAGGCTGAAGACAGCTCTAAGCTCAAATATGTTAACCAACTTAATTCAACCATAACTAGTCGGTTGTATAAGCAAACAACGGGGAGTGGCATGGTTGAGCTCACATTCTTAACTCTCAAACAACAAACCAACAAATCTTCAGAAATTGTCACTGTTACTGTTACACCATAAACACCACAAGTGCTACATCACAGCTGCCTAAATTAATTTGGGAATCACAGGAATGTCCATGAAAAATTACAAATTATATGCAGGCAACAAGATAACTAGAGAAAAAGATAACTTCCACAAGTATTCAAGTTGTGTTGGAAAGAAAAACTCTTCCTAGCAAGTCAAACCTTCACCAGTCAGAAAGCCAGGTACCTTGCCTTGCAGACTCTCTGTTCCATAAATCCCTGCAATTCAGAGTTGAGCTGGCGCCAGTTGGAATCAGGTAACTTCCAGAAAGCACATGGCAAACATCAGTTACTCCTGAGTTCAAAACTAAAACCAACTTAAATGCTCACCCTCCTGCCACAAACTAGCCACAGATACCTGTTTTCATGTCTTCAGTTATTCTGATCTCATTAGAAATGCCAGAAAAAGAAATAAGATATGAAGAGAGAAATACATAAGGGGTGTTTCTACATTGCTCATTATCTTGGGTTTCAGACAACCTGTAATCTTTGGAAATTGTTAAATATTAAAGAGGTACTTGCAAACACCCATAAAAATGCTAAACGAAGCCAGGGCCAATCTTTGCATTTCTGTTACTCACCATAGTTTGGAATAGGAATTCATAAACTTCACAAATTAACTAACTGCTGAGAAGCATGAGCCAGATTCACCTTCCACATCCCAAAGGTTTGCCAACAAATTCATTCCTCCTCTTTTCTTTATTAATATACATAAACATAGTTATACAGCAGCAACTTATCTTTCTCTTCTTGGTAACACATATGCAAAAGTACATAGCCAAGAAATAGTGTGATTTAAAAGTAATCTTTCAGGAAAATTTTGCTTAAGAAAGATTAGACGATAAAAAAAAATTACTGAAAATCAACATAAAATTCCAAATAAAAACTAAAAACAGGCCAGACGCAGTGGCTCACACCTGTAATCCCAGCACTTTGGGAGGCTGAGGCAGGCAGATCACTTGAGATCAGGAGGTCGAGATCAGCCTGGCCAACATGGTGAAACCCTGTCTCTACTAAAAATATAAAAATTAGCTGGGTATGGCGGTGCATGCCTGTAATCCCAGCTATTCGGGAGGCTGAGGCAGGAGAATCACTTGAACCTGGAAAGTGGAGGTTGGAGTGAGTCAAGATCATGCCATTGCACTCCAGCCTGGGCAACAGAAAATTAAAAAAACAAAAAACAAAAAACTAAAAGTAGAGTCTATAATGCTTTTCAGAGGAGAGTTTTAGATTACATGACTTTTTAAGAAGTTGCAGATTTCTCACTAACCAGTCAGCCATATTTTTCAAAAAACTGTTTTAAAATATGTTTTTGTCAGCTTGGGTAACATGGTGAAACTCCATCTCTACAAAAGTGCAAAAAATTAGCCAGGCACACACATGTAGTCCCAGCTACTCGCAAGGCTGAGGTGGGAGGGTCACCTGAAGCTGGGAAGTCAAAGCTGCAGTGAGCCATGATTGCACCACTGCACTCCAGCCTGGGTGACAGAATGAGACCCTGTCTCTAAGTAAAAAAAAAAAAAAAAAAAAAAAAAAAAAAAAAAATTAAAAATGTTATATTATCATAAAGAACTTAGAGTACAACCAATGCCTATGTCTCTTTTTATTGTGATGTCAGCAAAAACCAGGTTAACTCAGGCTGAGGTTTGACTTACACTATATAAAACTGAACCCCAAATACTTTCCCTAAAAGAAAAATATGAAAACAACATAAATCAACTTTCCCAGTACACATAAGGCCCTTCCACTGGGCAGCAGTGAAATGGAGATAAAGCTGGAGCTACGTGCGTCGTCAAACGCACTTGAGTTCTAATCTGGGTACTGCCACCTGTACCATGTGTCTTCGGGCAGGTGATGTCACCTCTCAGTGTATTTGTTTTCTTAAAAAATCTTGCCGGGTACAGTGGCTCATGCCTGTAATCCCAGCAGTTTGGGACGCTGAGGCAGGCAGATCATAAGGTCAGGATTTCGAGACCAGCCTGACCAACATGGTGAAATCCCGTCTCTACTAAAAGCACAAAAATTGGGCCAGGTGCGGTGGCTCACGCCTGTAATCCCAGCACTTTGGGAAGCCGAAGTGGGTGGATCACGAGGTCAGGAGATGGAGACCATCCTGTTTAACACGGTGAAACCCCGTCTCTACTAAAAAATACAAAAAATTAGCCAGGCGTGGCGGCGGGCGCCTGTAGTTCCAGCTACTCGGGAGGCTGAGGCAGGAGAATGGGGTGAACTCGGGAGATGGAGCTTGCAGTGAGCCGAGATCGCGCCAGCGCACTCCAGCCTGGGCAACAGGGCGAGATTCCGTGTCAAAAGGAAAAAAAAGTACAGAAATTAGCCGGGTGTGCGCGGCCTGTAATCCCATCTACTCAGGAGGCTGAAGCAGGAGATTTGCTTGAACCTGGGAGGAGGAGGTTGCAGTGAGCCAAGATCACGCCGCTGCTCTCCAGCCTGGGTGACAGAGTGAGACTCCGTCTCAAAAAAAAAAAAAAAATCTTTACTTATTCAACATATGCTTACTGAATGCTTACACTGTGCCAGGTTCTGCATTACAAGATGAAAATACCTTGATAACAAAACAAGGGCACTGATTTCATGAAGATTATATTCTAGAGGAAATGAGAGCTATTTTAAAAAGCAATTGCGATCATGAAGAGTATCTTAAAGGGGAAGGATGAGCTGTGTGGGACCAAAAACAAGGGAACCCACTTTAAAGGATTAGGGCTAACTGTCTAAGGAACTGCTATGTAAGCTAAAACCTAAGGGACACATGGCAGAAAGCTGAGGGAATTGTAGGAAAAAGCATTCAGACAAAGAGGAAATAAAAGAGGGCAAGATAGTGCAGGATGATGGGGGTGCTCGAGGGAATTATGAAGTCCTGTGTGGATGCATGGACTGGAGAGAGAAGGCAGAAGACGGCAGCAAGAGTGGGGCTAAAGTCGCGGCCATGGGCCAGAGCTAGGAGAGATCATGAACTATGTTACAGGAGCTTGGACTTTATTCTAGGGACAAGGGGTAACCATCCCAGAATTTAACCAGTAAAGACATAATTTGATGCCTATCTTTGATGTTTAGTCTAGCTGCAGAGCAGAGCATACAATGGAGCAAAGTGGATACAGAGATATTAGTTAGGGAACTATGGATTATCCAGGCAGAGGGAGAGATCTGTTTGAGGTAGAGGATCAGGAAAGAAGTGGAGAAATCTGTGAGAGATTTAGGGAGAAGAATGATCAAAATTTATAACGTTATATTTGGGACACAGGGGCAGACAAGAATAGCAAGAGAAAAAGAGATTCTCCAACTACAAAATAAGGATATTGGCCAGGTGCGGTGGCTCACGCCTGTAATCCCAGCACTTTGGAAGGCCAAGGCAAGTGGATCATTTGAGGTCAGGAGTTTGAGTCCAGCCTGGCCAACATGGTGAAACCCCGTCTCTACTAAAAATACAAAAATTAGCCAGGCAGTAGTGCCTGTAATCTCATCTACTCGGGAGGCTGAGGCAGGAGAACCGCTTGAACCCAGGAGGCAAAGGTTGCAGTGAGCCAAGACTGCGCCATTGCACTCCAGCCTGGGTGACAGAATGAGGCCCTGTCTCAAATAATAATAATAATAATAATAATGATATTAACCCTAACCTATGTTGTTGTGTGAATAGAAATGTAAATGTGACAACGTGTATTCAATATCTCCTGCAGTAACAGATAATCCAAAAAAAATGAAAATAGCTATTTTTAGTTTGAAACCAAACTTCATGCTTCTCACAAGTAATGCAACTGGATTATTTTTTTCTGGGTCATATCCAATAGCTTTGAACTCTTCTATTGTGTTTAAGGACAGAGTGCAGAAATGCAAATAGCAGTGATGGGAAATTGCCCCAATGCAAATGGGAATAAGTGTGGCCAGTGTCGCATTGTCTATTACGATGTAGAAATTGCCTATAGTGAGTCCTCCAGATTAGTTATTGTTTTCCTTTACATGTTGCAGATATTCCTTGAGCAACCAATAAAAAACATTTGAGAATATATCTCCACCAGTTTGGTAAGATTTCTAATTAAGTTTGTGAAGACAATGAAGACCATATGTTTGCATTCTTTTCCAATGAAGTCTATTTTTACTGCAGTAGGCTAAGCCCCTCGTGGGGAAAGCCTTTGGGAATGAATAAAATCTTGAGACAGTGCATATTTTGCAACCCACCGTGGCCAAAACAGTCTTGGGGGTCTGCAGAACTGCATTTAGGACCACGCATTAGGTGCATGTATACTGAGTGGGCACTTCTCCCATTGGCCATATGTGGACCCCCCCTAGATCAGAGTACAGAAGAAAGACAGCAATGCAGGACAGGAGGAGCCTGATCTGCTCATTTTACTACAGACACAGGCCATCGCTCCCAACAAGGAGGAGGTGGACTTTCTATGCTACGTGTTAACACACATATATTTATACTTCACATTTATAAGGACACAGTTCTGATCAAAGAACAGGAATTGAGTGAGCATTTTCCAAATTAACAAGACCTGCATAACATTATGCGAAAGTATTATTTTCTCCCTCAGCATTCTATGTGCCATGCAGTGGAGACACATCCTACTCAACAATTAAGTCAGTGGGGAAAAAGCTGCATAGAGTCAAAGTCACTCTCGAACATTCCTTAAGTTGCCCATGAAGAACAATATCCCTGGTTTTGTACATACTTCACTGTCTGTAAATAAACCTCACACAGTTAGCTTTTCTTCCAGCACTGAAACAAATTACTGTTTCTTCAATAGAGAAACCAGATGAAATACCAGGCCTGCATTTAACAGCTATATTGGAAACAAGGAAAAAAAAAAGTGTCTGTTTTTTGTACTTTTATTAAGCCCATGTAGTTGAGCAATTTAAAGCCATATAACCCCACTGTAGGTGAAATGAAATTAGTTTTTTCTCCACTTTAAACATTGAAGCTCAGATAAAATCCCATTCTAATTATTGAAAGAAACTTTCAAGAACAACTTGAACAATGGTATTATCTAATTTCTCTAGCAAATATGTTCACCCTTTTTGTCCATGTCATTAGAAGTAATAAAATGACATTAATCAAACTATTTTTTGTGTTGTGTTGTGTTGTTTTGTTTTGTTTTATTGAATCAGACTCTCACCCTGATGCCCAGGCTGGAGTGCAGTGGCACGATCTCGGCTCACTGCAACCTCTGCCTCCCTGGTTCAAGTGATTCTTCTGCCTCAGCCTCCCAAGTAGCTGGGACTACAGGCACACACCACCATGCCCAGTTAATTTTTGTATTTTTAGTAGAGATCAGGCTTCACCATATTGGCCAGGCTGGTCTCGAACTCCTGACCTCGTGCTCCGCCCACCTGGGCCTCCAAAGTGCTGGGATTACAGGCTTGAGACACCGCATCCAGCTTATTTGTGTTCTTAATGAATTGAAATGTTAAATGTGAAAAAAGACAACAAAACAAATTTTAATATTTTCCTCCTCTTGTCTCACTTACATATGTACATGAATCCAAAGTAATTTCAAACTCACTTCATTCCAATTCCTTCATTGATTCCTCTTTAATTTTGGAAATAGCAGCCAAGTTCAAGGTTATCTGCTATTTCCCTCCAGGTCCACTCTCCCTGCTTCCAGTTTTTTGTTGTTGTTGTTTTGTTTTCCTCCACAGGGTGAGCTCCATGGACCACATCAACAGGCCCTCTTGCTTCTGCCTTCCTGCTGTGTTTAGCAAGTGGGAAACCCTCACAGGAGGTGGATGGAAGGAAGGAGACAGAAGACAGCGAATTTATTCCCCTGGTTCCATCCTGTTAAGTTTGTCCAGGACACAGCTCACTATTCCTTCAAGGTGTTGTCCTCTGTGAGACTATCTGATACGTCTCCTCCTCTCATCCCTTTGGAGCTGGGGTGTTAGCAGCTCATCCAATACTACCCAATTCCCACGCATTTATAAATAAACACTGCTTGCACTATTCTAATTTCAGTGTGCCATCTGCTTTCCGTTTGGGATCTAAATTATACAATTTAATTTTACAGATGGAGAAACAATCTGATAAAATTTAGGTGGCATGCCCAAGGGAACACAGCTACTTAGCCAGTCAATGACCGACAGAGAGGGACTAAAACAGAACACTCCGCTGCCAGTAACAGAAACTTCTCTGGAACTAATTAAACAGACAAAAAGATGGAGATGTTTATTGGATCACATAGCCGGGAAATTCAAGAGAACTGACTTTGAGCGCTGGTAGATGCAGGAGCTTGACTTTTGACAACAGAAAAGTGTCTCCTTTCTTCATCCCTCTCTTCTCCACATTGGCTTCATTCTCAGGCAGGCTGTCCCCACACAATCAAAAACATAAGTGCCAGAAACTATAAGATTACTTCTCTTGGAAGTCCTACATGATTATCACCGAGTTAGCAGCAGTCCTGTGCTCACCCATGAACTAATCACAGAGAATTCTAATTGGTCAGGTTAAGATTACTGTCCATCCCTGGAATTGGATAATAGAATGAGCCACACTCAAAAAACTGAGATGGAGAATCAATTACTCTTGAAATAAAAACAACAACTTTCCTCAGCAGTAGGGATAAAAGGAATGCTGCACAGGCAAAAACAACAGATATCTCTGGTATTTAGAAACAAGAAAGGAGTCAATTCTTATTCTAAACCCCATTCAATTTGTGTTTTACTATCGACATATATATAAATCGAATAACACTGACCTAACCTGAACCTTGTTTCATGGAAGCAAAAGAAAATTATCAAACTATAAATATGACATCTGTATGGAAGTTACAAGCCACAGCATACGTTCACATACATTATCTCATTTAATTTGGTTTTTCTGAACTAGGGATTCAACATTCCTTACTTATAGCATTTTTGAGGTCGGACAAATGTTTGTGAACTTCAAGAATCTCAAGATTATTTCTAATGCTTCAATTGTGTTCACATATTGTTGAGAAACTACAGTATAAACATTTGAGAGAAACTCATGGTTGTCAGTTTTATTGTGCTAAGAATCTCTGTGGAAATTCAGCCAGAGAACCATCAAGACATATTTCTGAGCCAAAGGCCAAAGTTCCTCAACTGGTCATGTCTTTTTTTCTGCAACTGCCCTTTACCCAGGACCCAGGGGTCACTGTAATACTAAAAATACAGCTTCCTCACTCCCTTTTGAAAACAACTTGACTGGGATTTTTACCATAGTATTGCAGAAAAGCATGGTTACATGTGAGTATAAAAATCCCAAATCAATGATCAAGAGGTCAAGGATGGAAAACTCTTGTTATGGGTTTGAAGCAATCTGTGGTTTGCACTGGTGAAACTTAGCGGTCAAAAAACAAATGAAGAAGACCCCAGGATGAAGCATTTAATCAGTCAGGGAATAGTAACAAACTTTGTCTGGAGCTTACAAATGTGAACCCTGAAGGAGCCAATCCTTCAAGATAGATCTTGAGTGGCTAATTGGACCTAAATTCAAAACAGTGCCAAGCAGCCATTTGCTGACCAGAAGTCACACATGCACTCTGCGTTTCTGGATAACCCCCACACTCACTAAACTTTAGGACTTTCATTGCCTTCTATTCTTGTCCACACCACCTGAATCAGCCATTAGAGTGCAACCTGCATCAACCAATCAGAATTCAACAAATGCCAACCAGTCACCACTAAGAAAGTGGACCAGAGTGGGAACTTGGGCAGGAACCCAACACAAACCCTCTTTGTTCTCTTGGAACACACCTTTGTTTTGTACCCAAGGCTACATCTCCCCAATTTGCAAACCTCGCTGGAATAAAATTTCTTTCTTTCTTTTTTTTTTTAAAAGAAAATCCTTTTCAGATTTATTGGCACTAATTAGAACTTGATTCATGAATTTGGGAGAAAGGACAAATGTGCTAACTTGAAAGACTGGGTAGAATTTGTTTTTGTTTTTTCTTGTTGAAAAATAAAAGGTACTTAAAAACCCAATAGCCATACATATGATTTTATATATATTTTTTTTTTGAGAGAGAGAGAGAGATCTCTCAAAGGTGTATATATCACAATTTCAGAGATAAATCACTGAGTCAGGATTCTGAGGGTTCATCTAACTCTACATCATGTAATTTTTTTTTTAACATGCCTTTCTAAAAAACTATGGCAAACATTGACCAAACTAATCAGCAGACTGAAGGGCAGTAATCCCCAGGACAGAGTTTATTTGGTGCTACTAGTTAGAAAAACAGAAGTTGATACTTCTTTCAAAACTCAGAAATATTTTTATAACACTTGACGTGAAAGTCAAATGAAAATTCCTGCTGTTTTAAGGAAAAGTCTGAGAGAACTGGTGACAGCTAGGATACAGGGATAACAAAGGGAGGGGCCGGTGAAAGTGGCCCCAAGGTCCTGAGCTTCTGTGTATTCATTTAAGAATGCTTACCTTTTCTTTCCTACCAATTCCAACATGGTCCAAAGGAAAGCAGTCCAAGTGAGTCTGCCTCTTTACAACCCCAGTTACTGAGCAGCATAAGAAGGAACCATTTCAGGGGATGAAATTTTCTTTTGTAGCGAGTCAAGAGGCATGCTTTAGTCTATAAGCTACATCTGGGGGAATTATCTAAAAGTAAACTCAAAGAAAGCTTATCAAAATCTTTGATGCATTTTTGAAGTTTAAGTTGAAATGAAAGGCAGTTCTGGTAACCAAACTTCAGTCCCAGATGAGTCAGGTCCAGGATCAATTTAGACAAGTATCTGAGTCTATCATATCTGGTCAACTTGGAGTCTCCCCATTTTCTAAACAAATGACTGTGTAGTATCATTTAAAAACCCACAATTTAAACAGTTTCATTTCAGTCTATCACACAAACTTTGACATGTTTACACTATGTTGGAAAAAGGTTGTAAGCAAGTAAATATATCAGATATTGAGAAGCAAAATAAGAGACATTGCTGTGGAAAGAACCATATTGCATTGCCTGACCTTTGACATGATGTCCAACAGGTAACAGCAAAGTTAAGAAACAGATTGGATATCAAGATTCAGTCCCTGGGCATCTCCTTTTGGGTTTTAAATCCTGAACCTGAACAACACAATATTATAGTTTACCATCACCATTGCAGGAAAGATGCACAGAGGAAAAAAAGAAGAGTAGGCCAGTTAATTAATTTTTATACAATCCTTCCAGTAAAATATGGCTAATATTTACTTCCCAGCAAATAAGAGGATATATGCATGCATGGCACACGTGTCAAGTATTGATATTATATACTAAATAATTAAATGCATAAAACTACACATACAATTATGTGTTCTAATATTATCATAAAGTATGTTCAGTGTGTTAAAAAATTCAGTCCCACCCTCAAAACATTTTATAATTTAAATATATAATCATACTGTACCTTGGAAAATGGCAGATAGCCATATAATGGGACCTCAACAAATATTGTAACTAACAATGGAAAAAAAAGCTATCAATACAAAACGATTTTCAATAAAAGAATCTGCAAGGTTAATCTACATTATCTTTGTGTTTCTCATTTTATATTCTCCCCTAAAATGCTACTTTTCCAATAAAATGTAAATAATTTGCATTCCAAAGCATGAGGTGGAAGAAAGTTTGCCACTCTTGGAACCTAAGTGTTCAAGATTATCACAGGTGCAGGCAATTAATAAGCAGATTTCCCTATGCCCAGAGTCCTTAGGGACCCGTCAAAAAGCAGTAAAGAGACATTCGAGATCTCAGCTCAGTTACAAATAGAATTAAGCAGAGAAAACTTATGCACCGTGTTCTCATTTTCTCCATTTTCTTTTGAAATTGAGAACACACATAGGATTCACTTTGAAGTTAGGGCTGCCTGAATATGATATTATTGATTTCCATAACATGTTTTTGCTCTGCAATGCGGATGTGCATTTTTCAAACATATTAAGAAAGGCTTTGATCTGATTTGTTCCACCAGAACGTTGTAGAGAGGCTGAAACCACTTCTATATAAGGGTTTGCTGTGCTGAGGGGAAGATTGCTGTAGCTTGAAAGAGGTTGGAAATATCCCATCTGAAAGCTCTTTTCAGTCTTCCTCAGCCTAAACATTTTACTCAGAGGGGTCAAAGGTCACCAACTGTCAAAACAAAACCAAAATTACACAGCGCTCCTGCAAGGAAGCTAAGCAGAGTGGAGACTCGGAATTCACAAACTGGACTCCTTAATGTGCCATGCAGCAAACAATAAAACTGTCCTTTCAAAGTCACAGGTATACTATCCTAAATCCTACTGATTTTTACAAGTTATCCAATAAGTTTAGAAGACTAGCCTTTTTGGTATCAATGTAGAGACTGAATTCTAGAAGAGGGGATGGGGGCTGGTCCAAACTTAGGTCTGTCAAAGCAACCAGCCTGCAAACTCCAAAGCACCAGATGGTGCTTTCGGGTTTCATAAACCCAAAGGTGCATAAATCTTCCTTCAAAGTTTCCAATTTCAAAACGGGGTTGTTTTCTTTGTGGGACTGGGGACTGGGGGAAATTTTTGCCATTGGGTATCTAACACAAAAACTCTAATAGCCTGTTAGACTTTCTTGTTCCTCCAGCTGGAGACAAGCAGACAGTCCCCAGCAAGCTCAAAGCACAACCCATCATCTGCCAGTCAACTCACTGTGGAAACAAGACCTGAACTTCTGTTTTGCAACCTGGTCTCATCATGACATAAAGAAGTTCTAGGGTTTTAAACATTCAGGGACTGAGTTTATCTGTTCATTCTTTAGTGAGAACATTTGCAAGTAATTCTTATTTTTAATACAACATAAAGCATTCAGCTTTTAAATCATATTCAGCATTGCTTAGAAAAGAATAATGGAGAAATGATTTATCAGAGGTTTACCTAAATGGAGGTGACTTCAACATTTTGTGAGCCAACTTTATCCCAGAGATCTTAATATAACGACGTGTCTGAACTCCGCGCTCTCCCTACCCACCTAGTGAAAGAGGTACTGGACAGAAAATGGGAGGGAAACAAATTGGAGGGGAGAATGAAGAGTACCTAAGTAGCCACAATGTGGGTAACCAACTCACTTCATTTATAAAGATCTGCGTGTGTACACGCAGCATGCTGTACATTCGTGCACCAACTCAATTACAGTGGAATTTAGTGTCCACCCAACTAGAAGAGCCTGCCAAAATGAGGGGCTTTGATTTTGATATGAAAATTAGTGGATCCGAAAAGGGAAACTACCCTAGGCACATACATCTCTCCTATATTGCTTGGCAAAAGAAATACAGAATTGTAGCACTATCTCATGCTCTCATATCTATCTCCTTCTCTGTAAGAGTCTTCATTTCACATCAGAATAACTTCACCTTCCTTCCAGATTCTTTCCTTTCTGGCCTGACCAAATGAACATATCATCTCCCTGTGTATCACAAGGTTTTTGGAAGGATCAAATGAAAGAGAACATGAATGGGAAAGTGCCTTGCAAACTATGAAGCTTTGTAATAATTTCTATTATGATTATTAATCATATACTGAAATAGACACAAGATAGAGTAAGTGGAAAGTAAAACATACAAAAATGTCGAAATGCTTAAGATTGCTTACCTTAAAAATTGTTATTAAAAAATTTAATCATAGCAATAAAATTTGAGAACAACCTTTAAGTATGTAAAGAAGTGTTAGAGTAAGTAGGTTCTCAAACTGTGGAAAACAAGGGAAAAAAGATATGGGGTAAGTTCAAGCTTCAAGGTATATATAATAAGAAATTCCAGCAGTCTGGTTTGTTGAGCACAAGAGTGGATGAATCATTAAAGGAGACTGTGGTCTGACCTTCCCAGGAATTCTAGAAGGGGCAGAATGGTCACCGTCTGATGTGGTTCACACTGTGTGACCAAGCAAAAGGAATGAGAATGATTAGCTCACCCCAATAGTATTTGCCAGCTCCAAATGGTCAAAGGGTTATAAAAAATAAAAATAAAAATAATTTTAAAAAACTATGTGAAGTCCTTATCACTTTAATATGTACACACCCATCAAAAAATAATACATCTCCTATTACTGGAAAATCATTTTAAAATTCCATCTATTATGCTGATACACAATGGAATTGTTTTAAAAATAAAATATGCACTACATGATAAGTAGGAACCTTAACAGCAGCCATTTCAGATGAAACTTCTGTTTACAAGAATCTCCAAAGAGCTCAAAACTGGATTACAGAGATGATCATAATAATGCAACAGCAAGGTTATCTGTTTCTATTTGTTGCTCCACAAAGCCTTTAGAACCTGATGTGTCCAGGAAAAAAATAGTTCAGGCAAATCAAAAGCTTTTATCCTTTCAGTGACTGGTCATCATAAACACTGTCACAGTCCTGGCAGAAAAAAGTTAAGGGCATCCCTGTTAAGGGATCTCTCAGCTACACTTTATGTATATGTGTATGTATGTACATATGTGTATTTTTATTTATGTGTGTATTTTTTTTCAGAGAATGGAAGGAAAGTTAAAATTTCTCCTGATTTCCATGGTCTGTGGTGTGTTATCTTCATTTCTGTCTTTTCAGATTTTACCCTGAAAAGAGGAAAATTAGGATGAAAACAAAAATCCACAGAAGTGAGTGTAAATTTTAGGTCTCTTTGTGGAGTGGAAAGTGGGATTCTCACTTTCAGTCCCAAGCCAATAGCTTTATGATAGGAAGTGAGTGTGAGTGTGTAAGTGGTACACGACTACATATTTACAGCCTCCACTGCTGCTCAAACAGCTTCAGAAGTCTCATACACCATCTACCTCTTCCTGACAGGAGGAGGCCCTCAGCTTGGAAAACGAAACCCCTCCCTTGGAACGATCGCCCCAAAAACACAAGTGAGAGAGTGAGTGGTTTTTATTCCATGCAAGCTGTTTCAAATAATAAGGAAATTTGGCGTTTCTGGGGATCAGCCACCCAGTAATACCAATGACCATTTTTAGGAAGGCTGGCATGTTTATTTGCCCTGAAAGAGATGCCTTCTACAAATATATTGCACAGGCAAACAAACAAACAAACAAAAAACAGGGGCCTATGAAAAGCAAATTGCCAGTCATCTACCTTCATCCACCAGGAACTACTGAAATAACACTTTTGTTTAAATCATTCAATGACTTCTGGATTCTGTCTCTCAAGAAGATGCTTCCAAGAAAAAGAGGGTTTTGTTTGTTTGTTTGTTTGAGAGGCAGGGTCATGCTCTTTCACCCAGGCTGGAGTGCAGTGGTGCAATCATAGCTCATTGCAGATTCAAATTCAGATCCCACTTCAGCCTCCCAAGTAGCTGGGACTACAGACATGGGCAACCATGCCCAACTTTTATTATTTATTTATTTATTTATTTATTTCTGTAAAGATGGGGGTCTAACTATGTTGCACAGGCTGGACTCAAGCTCCTGATCTCAGGCAATCCTCCTGACTAGGCCTCCGAAAGCACTGGCATTACAGGAGTTAGCCACCAGACCCAGCCTTTACAAGTTCTTTTTTTCCTACTTAGACACCAACACCAATATAACTACAGTCACAAATCGCACATAGGAAGAAGAGTAAGAATTTTGATAAGTCTGAAGATTAAACTCCAGATGAGAGGCATGATGCGCTCTTCCCTCCCAAGCACCAAAGGATGTTGGTGTCTGTCTGGCAGCCCACAGTGTACCTCCTTCACTCAATAGAAATCACCCTACAGTGAACTATAACAGGGGCCCCAGGGCATCCCCAAATTGGGCAATAACCAATATTCACATAATTATTAATGAGACATATAAAAAGCAAGATAATTTCAACAGTTTAACAATCCACTGTTCTCTAAATTCTATTCTAAACTGAGTCGTATTGAGAGGTGACAACTTGCTAGCAGCCCTCACTCGCTCTCGGTGCCTCCTCAGCCTCGGTGTCCACTCTGGCTGCACTTGAGCCCTTCAGCCCACTGCTGCACTATGGGAGCCCCTCTCTGGGCTGGCCGAGGCCGGAGCCGGCTCCCTCTGCTTGCGGGGAGGTGTGGAGGTAGAGGCGCTGGCGGGAATCGAGGCTGTGCGCGGTGCTCGCAGGCCAGTGCCAGTTCCAGGTGGGCGTGCCTCGGCAAGCCCCGCACTCAGAGCAGCTGCCAGCCCCAGGCAATGAGGGGCTTAGCACCTGGGCCAGCAGCTGTGGAGGGTGCCCCAGTCCCCCAGCACTGCCGGCCCGCCACGCCGTGCTGGAATTCTCACCGAGCCTCACTCGCCTCCCCCCGGGGCAGGGCTCGGGACCTGCAGCCTGCCATGCCTGGGCCCCCACCCCCGGTGGGCTCCCCTGCAGCCTCCCCAATGGGCACCACCCCCTGCTGCATGGCGCCTGGTCCTATCCACCGCCCAAGGGCTGAGATGTGTGGGCGCATGGCTCAGGACTGTCAGGCAGCTCCCCGGGGACAGGCCCAGGATCCACTAGGCAAAGCTAGCTGGGCTCCTGAGTTGGGTGGGGTTTTGGAGAACTTCAATGTCTAGCTGGAGGATTGTATATGCACCAATCAGCACTCTATATCTAGCTAATCTGGTGGGGACTTGGAGAACTTTTATGTCTAGCTAGAGGATTGCAAATGGACCAATCAGCACTCTGTGTCTAGCTAAAGATTTGTAAATGCACCAATCAGTGCTCTGTGTCCAGCTCATCTAGTGGGGACTTGGAGAACTTTCATGTCTAGCTAGAGGATTGTAAATGCACCAATGAGCACTCTGCGTCTAGCTCAGGGATTGTAAACGCACCAATCAGCACTCTGTAAAAATGGACCAATCAGCTCTCTGTAAAATGGACCAATCAGCTCTCTGTAAAATGGACCAATAAGCAGGATGTGGATGGGGCCGGATAAGGGACTAAAAGCAGGCTACCCACACCAGCAGAGGCAACCTGGGTCCCCTTCCATGCTGTGGAAGCTTTGTTCTTTTGCTCTTTGCAATAAATGTTGTTGTTGCTCACTCTTTGGGTCTGTGCACTGCCTTAATGAGCTGTAACACTCACCATGAAGATCTGCAGCTTCACTCCTGAAGTCAGGGAGACCACGAACCCACCAGAAGAAAGGAACTCTGGACACATCTGAACATCTGAAGGAAAAAACCCCAGACACACCTTCTTTGAGAACTGTAAGACTCACCACGAGGGTCTGCGGTTTCATTCCTGAAGTCAGCAAGACCAAGAACCCACCAATTCCAGACACAATATAATCAGGGATAATAAGCAAGAGACATCAATAATATAGATGGGTACTTAATCATGAAAAAATGGTAGCACATGGATTATATCATTCCAGAGGATATGTATTATGACTGCTGTTTTTTATTACTTTTAATTATCTGGCTTATTAGGTTAATACCAAATACCAAAAACTAATACCGAAATAGAGGCACATGGTATTGAAGTTATGGTGATAAAGACAAAGACAGAAAATGTAATTAGAGTCAGCAGTAGGATCATAATGAGGGATGGCATAGCTTAAAAGACAAAGCAAAGTTCTCAAAGTTACTTAAGAAGCCAAGAACAAGCCAGGTGTGAGGAACAAGCTTAGTGTGTATACCAGAAACTGCCCAGAAGGAAAACTAAGTCCATAAAAAGTACAATGAAGGTGAAAGCCAAAATTTCGATGAATAACAGCGGCTGAGCAGGGTTTACGTAGATACTGAAATTCAGGAGCAGAGGCAGATCTGAGACCAACTACACTAATGAGTATCAGGAAAATCAAAGTACAAAAGGGCCCGAAAAGTAAACCATCAACAGGCTCTTTAGTCTCATCAAAAGAATAAGAGGAGACAAAGGGGAAAGCTAAAATACAAAGGCTGGTGCAGAACCAGAGGATGCTGAGGAGTGAAAGTTGGGGACTGGATGGACCAGGAAACAGAAGAGGCTCCAGTACCCAGAGTAAAAACTGACAAGCAATACTCACGTCTGCACGCTTCTGGGATCCACCACAATTTTAACACTTGTATACTATGGCATCTGCAAATGAAAGCAGGCAGAGATTAAATCTCGCTGTGACACTGAATCAAAGACAATAGTATTTGTCAGTTTATTTTTCTCATTAAACTATAAAAATCATGCATATTTATCCATTGATTATTGAAGTCTTCAGATTACAGTCTGGAAGAGCCATTGAGACCATCTTTGGTGATATATTAGCTAATCATATATGTAATTTGTTCATAAAGTAACATTTTCGGCCAAGCACAGTGGCTCATGCCTGTAATCCCAGCACTTTGGGAGGCCGAGGCAGGCGGATCACTTGAGGTCAGGAGTTTGTGACCAGCCTGGCCAAGATGGTGAAACCCCGTCTTTATTAAAAATACAAAAATTAACCGGACGTGGTGGCGCATGCCTGTAATCCCAGCTGCTCAAGAGGCTGAGGCAGGAGAATCGTTTGAACCCCGGAGGCAGAGGTTGCAGTGAGCTGAGATTATGCCACTGCACTCCAGCCTGGGCCACAGAGTGAGACCTGTCTCAAAAATAAATAAATAAATAATAATAACATTTTCATGGGACAAAGTTATACATTTGCTCATTTACCAATAAAATGATTGATTACATCAGGACCTAGGATATTCTGATATATTTATTGCCACATACAAAATCTACTTTAGATGAGACTCAAAGTGTCATATAAGAATATAATGCATATTTATATTTATGCACAGCACATATATATCTACACAGAAATACATGGGGACCTACCTATCTATGCTACCTGAACTATCATGCCGCTTTCCTTGCCACAATAAGCTCTTAGTATGTCAAGGGCTGTAATCACAACTCATTCTTTCTTTTGAGGGCCATTAATTTTGTTTTTATCACCTCATTATAAATAACAATGTTCTTAGATACTATGGCCATTCCCAATTGACTAAGAGTAGAGAAACCCTGGTAGGTGCTAATATTTTATCATTATTTAATTACTACTCTTCTAATAAATTGGAAGAACCATGATCAGACCTCATTAAGGATGATACAATTTCTTTTATCCATCAATCATTGCCCAGGCTAAATTCTTGCTCACTTAAGTCTTAAATTCTACTTATTTACAAAGATCACTAGCTACGTTATTTTTCTACCCTAAAATCAGCTCCTTAATATTGTTTTTCTAATTTTAGGGGCAAAAAAGTATACCAAGGTTTATTAAAAGTTGATGGCAGCTTGAAAACTAGTGCTGACCTGACAGTGGTAGCCTTGGCAGACATATTTTCAAAATTTTTTTCTCAGAGATATTTTTAATGAGGCTTTAAAAATAAGGGTATTTAAAACAAATAAGAATATTAAATACTTTAGATAGCAAAAAAATTTGTTTGTCCTCTGGTATCTTTTCTATAAAAAAGTAAAATGAGTAAATGGTTGTTGATATAGTTTGGATATTTGTCCCTGCCCAAATCTTGTGTTGAAATGTATCCCCCATATTGGAGATGGGGCCTGATGGGAGGTGTTTGGGCCATAAGGCCAGATCCCTCGTGGCTTGGTGCTGTCCTCATCATGGTGAATTTTTGTGAGATCTGGTTGTTTGAATGTGTGCCACACACTTGAACAATTCCCCCACTCTCTTGTGGCACACAATAAACCACCACCACCCCTACTTTTGCTCACTTGCTCCTGCTGCCACCATATGAGACACTTGCTCCCTGCTTGCCTTCCGCCATGATGGGAAGCTTCCTGAGGCTTCCCCAGAAGCAGATGCTGGCACTATGTCTCCTGTACAGCTTGCAGAACTGTAAGTCAATTAAACCTCTTCTCTTATAAATTGCCCAGTCTCAGGTACTCCTTTATAACAATGCAAGAACGGCCTAACAGAAAATTGATATTGAGGAGTGGGGCATTGCTATAAAGAAACCTGAAAATGTGGGAGGAGCTTTGGAACTGGTTAATGGGTAGAGGTTGGAAGAGTGTGGAAGGCTCAGAAGACAGGAAAATGAGGGAACGTTTGGAAATTCTTAGAGACTGGTAAAATGGTTGTGACCAAAATGCTGATAGTGATATGGACAGTGAAATCCAGGCTGATAAGATCTCAGATAGAAATGAGGAACTTAGGCCAGTCACAGTGGCTCATGCCTGTAATCCCAGCACTTTGGGAGGCCGAGGCAGGTGGATCATGAGGTCAGGAGATTGAGACCATCCTGGCTAACACGGTGAAACCCCATCTCTAATAAAAATACAAAAAATTAGCCGGGCACAGTGGTGGGCGCCTGTAGTCCCAGCTACTTGGGAGGCTGAGGCAGGAGAATGGCGTGAACTCGGGAGGTGGAGTTTGCAGTGAGCCAAGATGACACCACTGCAGTCTGGCCTGGGCGAAAGGGCGAGACTCCATCTCAAAAAAAAAAAATAATTAAAATAATTAAAAAAAAAAAAGAAATGAGGAACTTACTGGAAACTGGAGCAAAGGTCACGCATATTATGCCTTAGCAAAGAGCTCAGCTACATTCTGTTTATGCCCTAGGATCTGTGGAAGTTTGAGCTTAAAAGTGAGATTTATGGTATTTGGCAGAAGAAATTTATAAGCAGCAAAGCATTCAAGATGTGACCTGGCTGCTTTTAACAGCCTACACTCAAATGTGGGAGCAAAGAAGTGACTTAAACTTGGAATTTATATTTAAACAGAAAGCAGAACATAAAAGCTTGAAAATTTTCAGACTGGCCAAGTGGCAGAGAAAGAAAAAGCTTTTTCAGGAGAGGAAATCAGGCAGGCTGTGGAGTAACCACTTGTTAAAGAGATTTGCATAACTGAAAAAGAGCCAGATGCTGATAGCCAAGACAATGGGAAAAAGGACTCAAAGGCATTTCAGAGACATTCACAGTAGCCCCTCCCATCACAGGCCCAGAGGCCTAGGAAGGAACAATGCTTTTGGGGGGCAGGGGCAGGCTCAGGATCCCGCTACCCTGCAAAGACTCAGGACACTGCTCCCCACATCTTGGCCACTCCAACTCCAGCCATGGCTCAAAGGGGTCCAGGTATAGTCAGGCTGCCACGTTAGAGAATGCAAGCTATAAGCCTTGGCAGATTCCCTGTGGTGTTAAGCCTTCAGGCATGCAGAGTACAAGAGTGAAGGCGGCTTGATGGCCTCCACCTAGATTTTCAGAGAATATATAAAAAAGCCTGGGTGCCCAGGCAGAAGCCTGCTGGAGGGGGACAGCCCTAATAGAGAACCTCTACTAGGGCAGTGCCAAGGGGAAATGTGGGGTTGGAGCACCCCACATGGAGTCCCCACTGGGGCACTGCCTAGTGGAGCTGTGGAAAGAAGAGCACCATCTTCCAGACCCCAGAATTGTAGATCTACTGGCAGCTTACACCCTGTGCCTGGAAAAGCCACAGACACTCAACACCAACCTGTGAGAGCAGTGGAGAAGTCTGAATTCTGTAAAGCCAAAGGAGTGGAGCTGCCCAAGGCCTTGGGAGCCCACCTCTCCCACCAGTGTGCCCTGGATGTGGTACAAGGAGTCAAAGGAGAATATTTTGGGGCTTTAAGATGTAATGACTACCCTGCTGGGTTTCAAACTAGCATGGGGTCTGTAGGCCCTTTTTTTTTTTTGCCAATTTCTCCCTTTTGGAACAAGAAAGTTTACCCGGTTCCTGTTACCTCCTTTGTACCTTGGAAGTAAATAACTTGTTTTTATTTTACAGGCTCATAGGTGGAAGGGAATTGCCTTGTCTCAGATTACATTTTGGACTTTGGACTTTTGGTTAACACCGCAATTAGTTAAGACTTTGAGAGACTATTGGGAAGGCACGATTGTTTTGCAATGTGAGAAGGATGTGAGATTGGGGTGTGGGGGGTGGAATGATATAGTCTGGATATTTGTCCCTGCCCAAATCTCATGTTGAAATGCAATTCCCAATGTTGGAGGTGGGTGCTGGTGCAGGTATTTAGGCCATGAGTGTAAATCCCTAATGTCTTGGGGCTGTCCTCATAATACTGAGTGAGTTCTTTTAAGATCTGGTTGTTTTAGTGTGTTGCCACCCCCAACCACCACCATCCTTGCTCTATTGCTCCTGCTCCCACCATGTGAAATGCCTGTTCCCCTTTCACCTTCCACCATGATTGTGAGCTTCTGAGACTGCCCAGAGGCAAATGTTGGTCCTGTGCTTTCTGTATAGCCTGTAGAACTGTGAGCCAATTAAAGCTCCTTTCTTATAAATTACCTAGTCTCAGGTATTCCCTTATAGTGATGCAAGAACAGCCTAGTATAGTTTTTAAAATGCTATTGGAAATTATTTCTTATCCAACTAAAACACTATTTTATATAAAATAGATCATGATGATATGGTTTGGCTGTGTCCCCACCCAAATCTCATCTTGAATTGTAGCTCGCATAACTCCCAAGTGTTATGGGAGGGACCCAGTGGAAGATAACTGAAACATGGGGGTGGTTTCCCCCATACTAGTCTCATGGTAGTGAATAAGTCTCACGAAATCTGATTATTTTATAAGGGGTTTCTGCTTTCACTTGGCTCTCATTCTGTCTATCCACATCCATATAAGAAGTCCCTTTGCTCTTCCTTTGTCTTCTGGCATGATTATGAGGCCTCCCCAGCCATGTGGAACTGTGAGTCCATTAAACCTTTTTCTTTATAAATTACCCAGTCTTGGGTATGTCTTTATAAGCAGTGTGAAAATGGACTAATACACGTGGTTTATCTTATAACTATGAGAACATAGCTATTATTCAGTGTAGAATATTAAAATATTTGTTTTTGTTGGATTTCAAAGAAGCATTGGTTATCATCCTGAAATTTGCATGGACTTGAATCTCCTAGCATACCCTATCCTTCTGCTGATAACAATGATGAATTCTGGTGAAATAAAAGAAAGGAAGAAAGAAACAGAGAAGAGAGGGAATGCGAGAAAGAGGGAAGGAAGGAGAAAAGAAGGAATGAAACAAATGAAACAGAGAAAGAAAGGAGAGAGAATGAAAGGAAGGAAGCAAGCAAGAAGTGAGGGAGGAAAGAGCAGAGAAGAGGAGAAAAGGGAGAGGAAAGAAAGAAAGAAGGAATGGAGAGAGGAGAAAGGGGAAAGGAAGGAAAAGATAAACAAGCAGAAATCTACTTAAATATACTGGAGAGTGACACCAAAAGGAAAAAAAAAGGCAGAGGAGAGTCAACATTCAGAAAAAGGAATGGCAAGGATGATTTTCCAATATTGCATGGCTTTTAGCCAGAGGAGAGATTATAATAACAGCATTCACAGTGGCTAAAACTCTGGTAGGAACCCCAGAATTATTCTGGACAATTGTAGCCACTGAAAAGTGAAAGAAGAATTCTAGATGGGAAGAAAACAGAAAGGAGGAGGGGCCCAAAATTCCATGTATAAACTCTATGCAAATTTCTGGCTAAAGAGAGAAAGAGAGAGAGTGTGTGTGTGTGTGTGTGTGTGTGTGTGTGTGTGTCAGACTCCAAACAGCACAGCTGAACTGAAATTTTGAATTGCCACACATGAAATGGAGTTTGAAGTTTGAATCTTGTTAAATCGATTGCCAATTAAAACAAGCAAATGACAGTGATGCTCTTCAGGAGACCATAACAAAATCTAAAGACAACCTATATTTACAATGACAAGAATGCAATCCAAAATTACTTGACATATGAGGAAATAAGAAGTTGTCACTCATTATCAGAATAAAAGACAACAGAGTTCAAGCTATAGATGACTGAGGTGTTAGAACTACAAGAAAAGAATTTTAAAACAATCATCAATTATGATAAATGACATGAAGAAAAAAATGCTCATAATGAATGAAAAAGTAGGAATCTCAGCAGAAAAATGGAATGGAAAAAAACCTAATGAAAATTTCAGAAAAGTTTAGTACCTATATTTTTTTAAAAAATAATAGAAAGGGCTTAGCAGGAAAATGGGGGTGACAAAGTAAACAGTACACTTGAAGATAGGATCATGGAAATTATCTAACCTGAAGAAGAAAGAAAAAAATTGAAAAATGACCACAGCCTTAAGGACTGTGGGAGAAAAACAAAAGTCCAATTTACTGAAGAAGCAAAGAAAATGGGGCAAAAATATTCAAATAAATAATAAACAAAAAGTTACCCAATTAGTGAAAATAGTAGATGTACAGATATGACAATCTCCGTGAAACTCAAGCAGTATAAATTCAAAAACAAGCATGTCTAAGAACATAATAGTCATACTATTTGAAACCCAAAAAGAGAAAATATATCTGAAAGTAGCAGGAAGAAAACAATACATTACACATAGGAGATCATGGTTAGTTAACAAATGACTTCTCATCCTAAATTATGGATGCCAGAAGACATTGGCATAACATACTCAAAGTGCTTGAAGAGAAAAAAAATGAACTAATAATTTTCATCTAGCAAAGCTATCTCTTAACAATAAAGACAAGGGCTGGGCGCAGTGGCTCACACCTGTAATCCCAGCACTTTGGGAGGCCGAGGCAGGCGGATCACGAGGTCAGGAGATAGAGACTATCCTGGCTAACACAGTGAAACCCTGTCTCTACTAAAAATACAAAAAATTAGCCGGGCGTGGTGGTGGGCACCTGTAGTCCCAGCTACTCGGGAGGCTGAGGCAGAATGGCATGAACCCGGGAGGCGGAGCTTGCAGTGAGCCAAGATCACACCACTGCACTCTGGCCTGGGCAACAGAGCGAGACTCCATCTCAAAAAAATACATAAATAAATAAATAACAATAAAGACAAAATCCTTTTTTAGATTTTAAAAACTGACAGCATTTGTCATAAGTACACTTGTAATATAAGAAATGCTAATGCATGTTTTTCAGCCGAGGGAAAATAATAGCAGAAGTAAATTTGGACCTTTAGGACGGAATGGAAAACACCAGAAATGGTAAATATATAAAACTATTTTCACAGTCTGTGAAGAAAAACTGTAGTTTTTATGAGCTGCACAACATATATATATATATATATATATATATATATATATATATATATATATATATATGTAATCCATATGACAACTATAGTAGAAAGGATGAGGAGAGGTAAATAGACCTATACAATTGCAAAGTTGCTATATTTTATGTGACATGGAACATTATTAATGTTAACTAGCCTGGGAAAAACTATGGGTATATATTGTAATCTCTAGAGCAACTACTAAAATGTTGACAAGAACTCAAATGCATTAATATTCATTTTTAAGACAGTGACTGTCACCTCAATCAAATCTAAACAAGTGAATCAATTTAGTTCCAATAGAATAACCATTGGAATTGCACTCTTAATGAAATCCTTTTGCATTGTTTCTTTTCAGTATATTCTGTGTGTGTTATCACTGAATTGTACGACTGAAATTGTAATAGGCCAAGGGGATCTGTAATGCACTGACTTAGTCACAATTGTCACTAGACCTCCAATTTCAATTTCTTTATAAGAGAATGTTCTATCACTCTTTCACATAAAGGCACATACAGAAATGTGTAATACAGTACTGTGTATAGCAGGACAGGCAGTAAGATGCACTCTGGAAGAGTGGATAGGTAAAACGTGGATGCAGTCATTGAAGTATTATAAAGGAGTTACAAATGACAAACTAGATGTAATACAGCACCGTGAAAACATCATCAACATATAACTGAGTGAAGGAAAACCAAAACAAAGATCAGAGGTCTCTAAGATGATACCTAAGTAAATTAAAAATATATGCACACTCAACAAAAAATGCATATTTTCCAGCAACACATACAAATTCATTCATTCAAACATATTAGAATGGTGTTGATGGGGAAAGGAAAGGGAGTTCAGAAGGAGATAACAGCAGATAGATGATGACTGATAGACAGAAAGAAAAAAATGGGAGTAGCTATGCATAGAACAATAATGACAATAAAACATAATGAATGAATACCTTGCCTCTGTTCTTCACTAAGGTCCAACAGGAAGAGAAAAGAAATCGAATTTTTTGAATACTTTTTTACCTTGCTCTGGATATTTAGAGATTTGCTTTCACACTTGTTTTATAACTTAAACTGATTGACAGATTTTGCGAAAAGCCCATCAAATTATGCTGCAGATTCTTTGCAATTAAAACTGAAAGCTTTAAGCAGAAATTTGCAATGCCCAGTATAGGTGTAGAGTCAGATTTTTTCAACATCTACACACATTCATAAAACCAAATGAAAAGTCATTCATGGGCTTTACGAATTTTTATTTGCACTACTGCCTAACATTCTAGGCCAGAGGTTGACAAACTATACCTTGCCAGCCAAAGGCAGTCCACTAGCTGTTTGAATTCTTAGCTCATGCGCAGCCCATGAGGTAAGAATTGTAATTACATTTTTTAATGGTTACATTTTTAAATACTTATATAAGTACTTACATACTACCCTTGATTTTGTCTCTTGCCTAGCAAAGCCTAAAATATTTACTATCTGTTTTTTTTTTAAGTAAAAGTTTGCTAATGTCTGATCTAGATTCTGGAAACAAAGTAATTATTTGGTATTTTTTCCTCTGCAAGACTTGTGTTCCAGGTTAGAAGAAATGGTTTTAGAAACAGCAATCCCAGAACTTTGGGAGGCCGAGGCGGGAGGATCATGAGGTCAGGAGATCGAGACCATGCTGGCTAACATGTGAAACCCCGCCTCTACTAAAAATACAAAAAATTACCCAGGCGTGGTGGTGGGCACCTGCAGTCCCAGCTACTCGGGAGGCTGAGGCAGGAGAATGGTGTGAACCCCGGAGGCAGAGTTTGCAGTGAGCCGAGATCACGCCACTGCACTCCAGCCTGAGCGACAGGGCGAGACTCCGTCTCAAAAAAAAAAAAAAAAAAAAAAGAAACAGTTATTTCAGCCAAAGGAGGAATCTGCCACTATCTGGCAACCCTGAAGTAGAATATGAGGAAATGTGCTGCTGTTGAGTAAAAAATATTAATTAGATAGTAGACTTCAGTCGAGCCTGGTGGCTCACGCCTGTAATCAGAGCACTTTGGGAGGCTGAGGCGGGCTAATCATGAGGTCAGGAGTTCAAAATCAGCCTGGCCAACATAGAGAAACCCCCATCGCTACTAAAAATACAAAAATTAGCCGGGCATGGTGGCATGTGCCTGTAGTCCCAGCTACCAGGGAGGTTGAGGCAGGAGAATCGCTTCAACCCAGGAGGCAGAGGTTGTGGTGAGCTGAGGTCGCGACACTGCACTCCAGCCTGGGCAACAGCAAGACTCTGTCCCAAAAAAAAAAAAAAAAATAGTAGACATCAAAGGTCATTGCAGAATAATTAAAGAAGTAGATAATGATATTAGCCCTGGAGTACAAGAATTATCACAGATTATGTTCTTCAAGATGGATAGGACAAAGTCTTCCATTACACATAATTTTCTTACAATGTGATATTGACACCTCTCAATGAGAGTTCGGGTCTATTTTATCCCTTGAATCCAGGCCTGCCAGCAACCACGAAGGAAATGATACTCTGTAACTTCCAAGGCTGTTTATAAAAGGAGGTAGAGTTTCTGCATAGTCTTTTTGGGTTAATTGCTCTAGAGACTTTCCCCCATGCTGTGAGGAAGCCTGGAGCATATGGAGAGGCCCTGAGTAGGAATTCTGATGGACAATCCCAGCTGACAGCCAGTATCAACTAACAAACATGGTTTGTTTAGCTCTAGCCACCATTTGGCTGCAAACCACATGAAAGATCCCAAGCAAGAGCCATGAGAGATAACAAATTGATTGTTGTTGTTTTAAGCCACAAAATTTGAGGGTACTTTTTTTGTTTTGTTTTGTTTTTGTTTTTTGCAGCCATAGATAATCAAAACAACTATTTATAGTCTCTCTTACTGAGGATATTCTAAACATTATTCAAAGTATCACCAAATGAGCCCTATGCAGAGAGGCCACTGTTGCAAATGAGTACTTGGCCTGTCTGATTTCATAATACCTTGGCAGGATTGGGTATCACTGGAAGTTGCTAGCTATAGCTAGTTTATGAAGCTTCATGACCAAAAGGAAATGTGGAGGCATCAGGAATTTTCACAAAGCATGACAAATCGTATCCATCAAATTTGGTAATAAAGTAACTATTTTGTCATGTAGGTACTGATGGAGTAAGCCAGAACTGGAGCAAATAATTTAATTCAAAACTTCTTTCCCCTTATTCAATAATGTATACATGAGTCTATATAACTCGTTAACAAACAATAATGTAAAATTTGTTCTTAAAAATAAGCATATTGCTTCATTTAACATCTTGGAGTTTGCTTTCATACAACCCTTTCTACAAAGACAAGGCTTAAGACATAAATTTGTAATTTGGGGTTGTAATGAAAGTAAAACAGTTGTAATGTCATCTTTATGAACTGCCCTAAAATATGTCTGTCCAAAGGCAAAATATATATAATAAAATCTTTCATAACAGTACAAAACAATATTTTTGATTTCATGTCTGGGATGATATAAAGTTTCTTATGCTTGAAATGACATTGAAGTAAACTGCCAGAAAAGACTTCTGAGGTTTTATTTATTTATTTTTTTTGACAAGGACAAACCCATGACATTTTTACAAAGCCTTTGGTCTTAACCTTGGAAATCTTACTGCTTAGGATAAAGGCAGAGAAAATGAGCAAGAAAGCTCTAAAGGTAAGATGCTATTATTAAATGCAAATATATTCATTAAGGAATTGGCCAAACAGGAAGGAATATTCCACTTTTAATGAATTCTTTAAACACACAAATATTCTGCAGGTGTGCATTTTAATTTAACCTTTGAAGCAGTGGTTATCAGTGGAAATGGACCTGGGTGATAAGATGCTATCTAGAACTTATTTTTTTACCCTTTATTTTATATACATATATATATGTATATTTTTTAGTCCATTAAAAGCTGTCTTATTTTCACTTTCATATTCTAGACCTTCCTGCAGAGTTACTAAAAGCTCCAATGGAATCATTTTTATGGGATTTGAAATTTTGAGATGTATTGCTAGAAACACTTCATATAATGAAAATACTATATGTAATTTTTAAAAATATATCTTCCAAAAATTTTAAAACACTGACGAGGAATTAAAGTATATTTTGCATGTAGTAAAGTTTTGTGATCCACAGTGAGATTGGGACAATTATCTGAGTAATTCAGAACAAACACATATACATGTCTAGTGGCTGCCAACACATACACAGTGAGTAAAATTTGTACACATTTTGAAGTTAAACTACTCAAGTAACATGGATAAAATCTACACAACAATGGCATGTTATAGGATTTTGATCAGAGCACTAAAAAAAGGGATTTCATTATTTTCATCGTTTGGGTCATCAAGGAGTTTGAAAGGTAAAAATCATTCATAATTTCACCAACAATTGCTTAGGGCCTACAAAACCTACAATTTGATTGACTGTTTTTAACCATCTAATTTGCCAACCTATAAATAAAAATTTAAAAGGTTTTGAACAAAAATAAGATACAGACCTACACAAGCAAATGCAATGAATACTTTTTGAAACTACCTGGAAATGGAAAAAAAGAAAACTTCTTTCTTGACATTTGGTATTAAAGTTCTCTTTAGATTAAAACACATAAATAATTATTTCACTGTTCATTCATGTAGCTGAGAGTTTGGAAGATAGTTATTTCACATAGTTATCTTCAAAAAATATTCTTAAATGATAAAATATGTACTCCTATATAATTGACATAACCTCAATGAAAAAGCTTTTTATAAACCAAACATGAAAACATTCTCATAATTTCATAGCTGTCTCTCTACATATGTACCTATGATTTCCACTTATTCCAATGGACACTTTCTCTGTTTTCAGGTGTAGCTGAAATTAAAGACTATCTGTTATTCTGCAGTTATTAACAGAAACTTATAATTTATATTCATTCTCTTTGCTTCTTTATGAAATCAATTCTCCCTTCTGGATGAAACACACTATTTCTCATCTATTAAGTTAATTTTATAAGGTATCAGTACAAAAAGGCCTGTAGAAAAGAGAACATTCAAATGCCACATCACCTCCAATGGTAATAATAGCATAGCTTCTCTCAAGTGGTCGACAGATAACCTTTTATCTCTTTTTTTAATTTACAAGAATTCTTTGAGTTTCATTCCACTAATGATGTAGAAGTGACAAGTGAAAAAGTTAAATGAAAATTTTATGACACATGCAAGACTCATATTAGTAAAAGAATTCTTAGAGACTGAAATGGCAGATAAATCAAAGACCAATTTGAAGACGAAAAAAATTAATAGCTTCTCATCCCTTATCTGCATAACTCATTAAGAAATAGTCTAACAAACGTATTGTTTTTATAACATGATTCAGAATCACACGCAAATTATCTTTGACAGTGGCCATGTTTTCTTAAAGATGCTGAATTCTTCAGAACATTCCATTTATCTCTCCTCTCTCTTTGGAAACCCAATTACCTTGGCATTTTTCCTTGAAGTAATAATGTGTTTCACAAGGTGTCTTCGAGGTCACATCTTTATTTCCTCACCAAGACTTACCATCAGCTGCATAAGAAGCTCAGTGGGCACATAAAAAGGCATACAGAAGTGGGCAGACAGAAGGCAAGAAGAAATATTACCAGTATGGCAGGAGAAAGAATTGGAGTTCCAGTGCCAGTTCTTTCAGTAATTAAATATGTTTACATCATTTTCTTTATTTCTGTAATGTGATATTTGGTTAGAATTAGTCCATGTTTCCTCTACCTCTGCAATACTATGATTTAGACAAATTAGAGATTGTCCAGAAGTTGAGCCTCAGGATGGTTAATCTTAATGGATGAACAGATTGAAATTGAATTGAACATAGGCAGGAGAAAATGGAGGAGAAGCTATTGTAATATGCAGGTCAAGATAACCTGGAGAAAGGAGGAAAGATAATTTTATGGAGTTAGAGAGACAGAATAATTGCCACCTGCCAACTGGTTGAGTGTGATGCAAGGGAAACAAAAGAAAAGGAAATAAACTCAACTCTGAGATGTTAAGTGTTGACTGAGAAGCTGTTTGAGAGAAAAGATGAATCATTAAGGATTTTCTTTAATAAATCAGCATATCTTACTTGTAGACATATAGATTGAAATGTCTAGCAGGTAATTAGTAGCTCAGAAGTCAACTTAGGGAGAGATAAACAGAGCTGGGATCATCTTCATGGATGTGACAAATAAAGTCATGACATTGAATAAGACAGCCAAAGGGGGCAGTACAAGGTTGAATGCCAACAAAAATTAACATAGATAAGAACTCAAGGAATTATTTAGATTCAGCCATTAAACAATCATGGTAACGAGTAAGAGAAAACAAAACAAACTAAACTATTTATATATTATTTTTGCCATATGTTCTATTGTAGATGTTCTAGGTGCTTGAAATACACACACCCATATCCTACTCTTGAGTCTTGGTTAATTTCCCCTCACATTTGTTTAATGCATGCTTAATATTTTTGATCCTATTATTGATTGCAAAAAGACTATAGACAGTCTCATCTCCATTATTGACTGCATATCAATACAATATCACAAAGTACTGTACTATGCTTTAACATTTTTGCCTAGTAACAAATTTATTACTCCAGCAATTTAATTTGCTTGCTGTGATTTTTTGTACTTCAACGTTTTTAGACACTCCATTTTAATCTAGGTTTTTCAAAAGCAGCACTACTGACATTTGGATGGCATAATATTATGTTCTGAGGGCTGCTCTGTGTGTTGTAAGATGTTTAGCAACATGTCTGGTCTCTGCTCACCAGATGCCAGCAGCACCCCCACTTCCAGTTATGACAGTCATAAACATCTTCACACATTGCCAAATGTCTCCTGGGAGGCAGAATCACCTCCTAACTGCTTGCCCTTTGAAAACCACTCATTTAGATTGATGGGGTTCAGAACACACTACCACAAAATATGGCATCTTGGCATTTCAGAAAACAGCAAAAACAGGAAGTTCACTCTGTAAGCTTCTCCCACCCTTCTCCCCTGAAGCAGGCCATAAAAGAATCCTCTGACGTTTCTATAAAGTAGGTCATAAGAACCTTCATTCCAGAAGTACCCTCAAAGACAGAGACACCAAGAAGAATCGGAACATACAGGCTTTGGTAAGTTCCCTACAGTTTATTAATGTTCAGTCATTTCAGATCATACTCCTTTTTGGACAATTGTATTTCTACATGACTGTCCACTTTTTATCAACCTTAAGCATAAAAATACACATTTCTCTGTTTCTTTGGTTCTTCATTTCTGAAGGCTCTTTTTCATGTAAATTTATATTGAATAAATCTGTACGTTTTTCTTTTGTTACTCTGTCTTTTGTTATAGGACTGTCAGGCATAAACCTATCTATGGGCAAGAAACGGAATCTCTTCTCCCCTACAAGATATGTCACTTGTACATAAGCATTTAATTGGGATTTGCCATTTTTAGAGAAACTGAGTCTTTTTTATTTCAATAAGTAGATTTATCTCAATATACTTGATTTTATTCTGCCTCCTAATTGCATATTTTTGTTGCCTACATATCCTTTTTTTTTTTCTATTTTCTGTTAAATGGAATGTCTTGTGTTCTGGGTGTGTGAGTGTGTGTGCGTATGTGTATTTTCTTTTTCTGACAACTTAAAAGGTTTACGATCTGTTTTCCATTTTTTGAAGGGTTATAGTCAGAACTTTGCATCATTTGTTGAAATCGTAACTGATAAAAAATCAGCTTGACTATATCTATTGATTCTCAGATATAAACCATTTTTTAAAATGAACATGTTCATACTTCCTTCCACTGTTGATAACAAGTGTATTTTTTAGTTTCTTTTTAATCTTATTTTCCATTTATTTTATTAGCATTAGTGAGATCCATGATTCTGTGATCTGCCTTTCCCATAAGGCTTCTTCAACAGCTTGAACTTTTACATTCCCATATATCATTTAAAAGCCTAGTATTATACTTGTTTGAATTACTGTTGGACATCAGAGCATTCCATCAAAGAATTAATTCTTATTTATATGTCCATTTTCTTCTAGGTCAACCCCAATGGTAAAAAGCTTTCCTAAAAAAATCATCCCTTTGGTTATACTGATAAGACATGAATGAATAAATAAGAAAAAAAAACTAAGCAGATATGTCACAGCTAAGATATTTTAGACAAATTCTAACAAAAATGTATTGGAGGATAAAGGGTACGTAGGCTGGATTTGAAGGGTAGCATTTTCTCTGAAGAGCCTGCTCTACTTTTCAGTCTGAATCTTTTCAATACAGGCAAAAAAATTGGCAGTGGGGGAAGTTAGGGGTAATAGTGTGTCAGCACATGCATGGCCCTAAGAGTTGTTACAATATCAAAATACTTAGTACAGACTCACTTCCCTGACTTTCCAAGTGCCCTGATTCCTCTAGACTCCCCCAGCCCCTCACATAGGTCAACCCCTACAGTCTCACCACTATGAAACAATAAAAACATCAATGCCTATCATTTCAGGGGGCCTCAGGCACCCTGATCTATCGCTATAGCTTTCTGTTCTATTTGATGGTGCCTGTGCTAATTAGAATTTTAAATTATAAAATTTAAAATTATCCCGGGAAGTAAGCATGGCTGAGAGTCCCATTTCCTATTAGATAACAATAAGAGATGATTAACAGATAGGTAATAGATAAGTAGATAGATAGACCAATTGATCCCTAGCTAGAAGTAGGCATGCTTCAGCTCTACTTTCCATCAGATAAGAAATGTGTGTGCCTGTGCACATGGACAGAATATTGAAGTGTGAGGAACCTTTCACAAGGAAAGTTATCATCCATCTCACTTCTGATTAGCATACAGCTAAATATTTAATTCTTTTGCCTAAAGAAAACATAACTCTCAAAGAGTGAGATTTACGTTTGTGGAGACTCTGGACATGTCATCCTTAAATCTGGCATTATTTTATATCAGGCATTAAAATGTGTACAAAGGCACACATGATTCAGAACAAGCACGTGACATACAATTCATAGAGACTTCATAGAACTAGACCAGAGGATATGAATAGTATAGCAGTAATTAAAAGAAAAAAATAAGAATTACAGGGGAAATTTCCAAATGCTTCCACTATGGTTTTCTTATTTAAGGAGTAAATGCCCTCAAGGCACTGACAACAGATTAAGAACTTGCATTCACTGAGGGAAACTGATGACCTCCAAAGCCCTAGCAAAAACAAACACTGAACATGAACACTTCCAAAAAAACAAAAGCATGTCTTATTATTGTTAAAAGAAAAAACTTTAGATAAATTAATTTTAGCAGAGTTTAAACGAGCAAAGAGACAATTAATGAATGAGGCAGCACCCTAAACGAGTAATGGTTTAGAGAGCTCCACTCTGCAAAGTGGGCAGGCAGTATTTACAGACAGAAAAATAAAATGACAAACAGAAATAGTGTCATTGATTACAGCTCCTTCTTTGCCTTATTTGGACATCTGAGCAGTTTGTAGCCTGTAACTGGCTGAAAGCTCAGCTGCTAAGATTGGCCAAGACTCAGCTACTTGTTACAAGAATATATTCTTAATTTAGGTTGCAGTTTGTTTACATACTAAGTTAGATTGCAGTTTACTGAAAATGGGGCAGCATTAGGCCAAATTCAATTCAACAATATGTATGAAGTTAATCTAAATAGTAGGATGTAATTAAGTCATTGCATTTTGCTTATTCTAAAAATAGTGCCATTCAAAAAAAACCACTATTGATCTCTTCTCCAATGTGCCCTTTACATTGTCTAATATTTTATATTGAAAACAGCACACGTCCTATTTAATTTTTTAGTCATTAGAAGACGACTATTCAGAATTTTTCAATTCATAGACAATACTCCTTTAATCATTTCATATTTCATTTTATTTAAGACAATTCACTACTAATATAAATTGAAATATCTTTGTGATACATTCATTCTGAGGATTTTTTTAACTCTTAATTTCTTTCACTCTTTAATATCCCTTAGCATATTTTGCAGTAGACACCTCCTAGGTTATGTGAAGAAATTTTTTTTTGTTTTTTTGAGATGGAGTCTCCCTCTGTCACCCAGGCTGGAGTGCAGTGGCGTGAACTTGGCTCACTGCAACCTCTGCCTCCTGGGTTCAAGCGATTCTCCTGCCTCAGCCTCCTGAGTAGCTGGGACTACAGGCGCCTGCCACCACGCCTAGCTAATTTTTGTATTTTTAGTAGATACAGGGTTTCACCATATTGATCAGACTGGTGTCGAACTCCTGATCTCTTGATCCTCCTGCCTCAGCCTCCCAAAGTGCTGGGATTACAGGCGTGAGCCACTGCGCCCGCCCTGTGAAGGATTTTAAATATACTTTGCTTCATACGTGACAGAAGAAAAAACAAAATTATTCCAAACTTAAAAACAGATAAACAAAAGAAAATACAAACTTTGTTCTAAATTAGGAATAAAAACCAACCTGATGTTACTTAATGTTAAAAACTAGCGTTCTTTAGAAAAGATGGCAACCTTGTTTATTAGTTTCAGGTACTAAACATAGCATGGGAACTTTAGCATCATTTGAGCTATTTATTCAGCTACTTGACATAAATCAATCATCACCCCTCAGTTGCATCACAAGCTCTCAGACCAAAAATGGCAAACAAATGAAGTTTTGTAAAGTTTTAAAATGTACAACCCTATTCTTACTGAACTTCTTTATTGTTTTAAATTAAGGGCACAGTTTGATAAAGAGAAAGCCTGGCAAGAAAGCACATATAAAAATTAAGGTGAAAGGGGGTAACATGCATAGCAGTTAGAAGAATTAGGACAACTATGATTTTTGCATAATATATGTCTTTGCATTATTTATATATTTCAATATTCCATTCACAGGAAATGTGGGGCTATGGAGCAGCAAGGAGACACACAATAAATTTTACAGAGAAACCTGTACCTCTTTGCAGTCAAATAAATCGACTGACAGACCCTGAATAAACACAGCTTAGGTTTTCTTAGATTGCTCTTATCCTGGCTATCCAAGAATGTTGCAACACCTTTAAATTTTAAGATTAAGTTGTCATTGTCAGTTCTTATAACAGATTTTCTTACTCTTAAGTTTATGGGAGAGGAGGAGAATATAGGATAATGTTAATTTCTCTGCCACACAGCTCTGCTTTCTTAATAATTCAGACTCTCTCCATCCAGGGAAAAAATGAATACCTAATGTGAGTATATGGAATCCTGACCCAGCTTTCAGATTGAGAGAGTCTATGAATCATCACATTTGATGTTTATGATTCAAAATGTAGGATTGCCTTAAACTAAGGCAATTAGGAAGATAGTTTTTCAGAGACGTTAGTCTTTGTTAAGATTTCTAGGTCCCCATAAGAGCACTTAGTCAGATAATTGCTAAAGCACATATGTGGCTCTAGGAACTAAGGAAAAAGTAAATGCCATAGGAAGACTATTTTTTAAATTACCTCATTCATCAGTCTATTGTAAGAGACAGCAAATTTGAAACTAAAGGTCACAGGCTGCTTTAGATGCATGGACTTAAAAATTAGAGAAAGTCATCAATAAAACTTAGTTCTTATTCATTATAGTCATTTCATTTAGGAAATTTCCAAAAGGTGAATGGAATTTTTAAGCCCATGAAAGATGAATTTTTGTCACCTTGGCCTCAGAGTGGCTCAGGGTCAGAGAAGGTAGAGAGATCATAAGTTAATAACAGTTTACACACTGCTATCCTTGAAAAGAGTGGAAATTACTGGCTAGAATTTCAGTTTATTACATGGTATACCAGAATGATGGGTGTAAGTGTGTCTGTGTGTGTGCACACACATGTGTGTTTGCCCTGGAAAACTACTGCATCACTTCCCCAAAATAAACTCTTAAATCAGGGGTTATAGCTTGTTTGTCTTAGAAGTGGGTCCACAGGATGTTTACAAGAGAATTCATTTCCCAGCCTTCCTCATATGACTCCTGATTTTCCGTGAAGTAATAATTGTTCCTTCATTTAACTCAACTATAGAATTATTAGGCTGGTGCGCAAGTGACTGCAGTTTTTACCATTTAAAAGTAAAGCCCAAAACCTCAATTACTTTTGCACTGAACTACTTCTTTCATATTCTTTACCTTTAGTCTCTCCAAGCTTCTGTTTCTTCATCTGTAAACTGGAGAGAATAATACCACTTAACACATATGTTAAAATCAAAAGAAATAAACAGATGAAGATGTACATTCAAAGTACCATACAGATACGCTATTTTTAAAAAGACAAAACACATGTATTTTTAAAAAGACAAAACAAAATGTGTATTTCAAAAAGATAAAACAAAATGTAAAAAGCAACAAAATGAAGGAAATTTAATGACAGTGTAACAGGGGACTGAAAATCCTGATTTCTCAATCCTTATTCTATATCTCTTGGTATTTAGTGTAAAAATTTTAAAATCTTTACCTAGCAATCTTGAGGAAGAAACTTGATAACTGATAATACATGAGATTGTTACCTAAGTGAAATATAATCCTATATATTCAACAAACTTTAGAGAAATAAGATAAATTTTAAAGTAAATGACTTCTGTAGTTTTATAGATCCTCCAAACCAATCTAGTCTCAGATCTCACCTTCATCATTTCTCTCATTTCCTTTTGGCCTAATTAATCAAAATCCTTCCTAGAATGTTCATTTCTGGCCAGTATGTCTTCCTGAATATGAATAAGAAATAAAATACCATTTGATGTTTGAAATTATGGGGGTAATCTCAATGACGGAAATAGATGACCAGGAAAAGGGAAACGAATGCCTGATTCATTATATTCATGAAGATATCAAAGGTTTATAAAGCCAATATCTGGGAAAGAGAAAACCGTGAGACTTCCAGATCTTCTCTGGTGAAGTGTGTTTCCTGCAACGATCACGAACATGAACATCAAAGGATCGCCATGGAAAGGTATGTGTGACAACTCACTGCGTTGTTGGTTGTATCAACACTCCTGTGGGGGGATTAATGTGAAATTTTAACTAATAACAAGAGCTTGCAGGTTTACAAGGTTTAGAAGCACAATCTTATGTTTCCTCTAGAAAGCAATTTTACAAGGGCACCATAGAACAGAACAATGGTTCTCAAACAGGGGAATCCTCTCTCAGAGGCATTTGGCAATGTCGGGAGATGTTTTGGGTTGTCTTAACTGAGGTGGGGAAGTGAGGGAAAAGTGCTATTGGTATCTAATGGATAGTGATGAGAGATGCTACTGAACATCCTTCAATGCACGGGACAGCCCCCAGAACAAGGAATTATTCAACTCAAAATGCCAATAATATCAAGATTGAGAAACTCTGGACTAGAATAAGACTCAAAGAGTCTGTGGGTCCAATTTGCCACAACTCTCAAAGGGACAAAGTAACATTTTCTGGTTATCAGGCCTCTAATGTGGATTGGCCAACTTGAATCAACCTGATGAAACTTTCAATTGTGAAGCCATAAAATAGACACTAACAACAGAATTGTCTTTCCTATTCTTTGTCAATTTGGTTCAAGCCAAATGACATTTCAAAAGGAAAAACAGACTGCCTAGTAATAACTAATCACCTTTACTTTCTTGGTTGACATTTGCAAGGAAAATAAATTAGTAACAACCATAAAATGTGTTTCTAATTAAATGAAGAACAAAAACATGTGTCTATTTTATCTCGTTTTGGGCTTTAAAAATCCTTTCCATGCTAAATGTGCAGATAAATGTACTCAGAGTTACAGAACATCTATCCAGTTGTGAATTTCCTAGACCTGCTATTCCAATTCCTCTATCTACAAAGCACATTTTATTTACACATACAGATAAAATATACATTTGGTTTCGTCATATGATTATAGTATGCATAAAATAAACTTTTTGGAAGAATCATGTTTTTGAAAAATTAAAAGTCTATAATAGGAATCATCTCAAACAAAAATTTTATTTTACAACTAACAGATTTAGTCACTTCCTACACTAAGCAATTTTTTAGGTATTTTTAAGTGTTTAGGTTTAGGTACTTTTTCACAAACTAAACTTTAGCATTTGCCTAGTTTTATCTTGGGCATTTCTGATTGCATTTCTTAAAGGTTTTGAAGGACTTAAGTTTTGTGATAAACACAGTTTTATATTGGGCATTCTTTTGGGGTAATGCCACTGAAGTTAACAAGTGATTTTAATTTGGTAGCTATCTATCGTTTCTTTCCTTTTGAAAGTATAAATTATTGATATATATAGGACTGTAACTGTCCATTTGCTGAGATAGCAAATTGATGACAAAGCTTTGAAAACCTTCAGCAAAGATCAGAGTGTTTTGTAATTAGAGCAGGAAAAGTGGAGAAAATCAAGCTTTCTGGGGCCTCTGTTGTGATGTAATCAATCAAAGGCAAAGAACTTGTTATTCTTTAAAAGTGACAGCAACAACCTATGTAAACACTGAGCCATCACGGCTACTCATGCGGCCCCCATTACACAGATGCAGATTGACAGCCCACAGGTGTACGCGATGTGACAAGACGACGTGCAAAGACCACAGTATTGGCATCATGCCTCTCTCACCCACTAATGATACGACTTGGGGAAAATCACTTAACCTCCCTAAGCCATCTGTTTCATCAGTATAATTTGATGATAATTACAAAGGCCCAGTGTATCTCACAAGGTTATTATGAAGCTCAAATATAAAAAAAATTTAATGTTTTTGGCGAAGTGTCAAACACATGCATGGGACTATTACGAGTTAGCAGATCTAAACTACAGCATTATTTTTATGTTAGAATTCTTTTCAAACTCAGTATTAGCAATCAAACAATCGTGTGTTTATTCTTATCAGGCAGGATGATAAATCGAAAGGATCGACTGTACTGTTTTTGTTATATCAGTGTCTACAATGTAAATTATCAGACACACCTAGTTAAAAAAAAAATTACAAAGTGCTGGGCAGCCTGACTGCTGAAAATCTGCAGAAACTCCCAAGACATTAAACTATCTTAAGAGAATGATCCAAACACCCTAGCTCAGAATTAATTTAAGCTCCAAATGTTTGGAAAGTACAGAAGCACTTCTGGGAAACGTACAAAAATGCAGGAGGTAACCCACTTCTCAAACTATATATCTGTGCAAACATAATTATATATCTACATTTACACAGTGGAAGGCGTTTGTTCTTCCCCCATCCCAGCCATTACAGTAGCAAATCAGGCAGCTGAGGGCAGTGGGGAGCAATAAGGCTTTCCTCGGCAGGATTACTTCTGAAAACCTCCGTGGAATAAATCATCTCAGAGTGGCTCGCGTTCTTATTTAAGCAGGGTCCCTCCTGCTGCTGCTGGTGTCAAACCTGCTCCTGTGCCAGAGCGTGGCCCCCTTGCCCATCTGTCCCGGCGGGGCTGCCCGATGCCAGGTGACCCTTCGAGACCTGTTTGACCGCGCCGTCGTCCTGTCCCACTACATCCATAACCTCTCCTCAGAAATGTTCAGCGAATTCGTAAGTACCATGCTTCTGGCTTCCTCCCTGAAGGAGCCTTCACATGAACTACTGGGCTCTGCTACATGTTAACCTAGAAAACCTCCCGAGCCAAATTTCAAACGATACATTTTAACATGTGAAAGAAGACACCAGCTCATAAGATGTGGAACAAGAAGAAAGGGACAGTGCCATGAAATCTCAAAGATTCTCAAAGAATGTAATGACTTAAATTTTTTCTTTAATTCACTTTATTTTTTAAAAATAAAAAAATTTAAACACCTGACCTAAAGCATGTTTAGGTGGGGCTGAGGAGAAGGAAGAGTGTTGATTTCTTGTTCTTGAATGTAGAGGTCAGACTCCACAGGCATTCTTTACTTAGCACGGAATAGATATCCAATAATGAAGAACTGCACTGCAGCAAATTGGGTGGATTGAATAGAATTAAACTGAGCTGAATCCATGGTGGGGAAAATATACAAATAATAACTTTTCAAAAACCCCAAAATGCTAGAAATCATTTCTCTGAGATTTCAGTATATGGGTTTATAATTACAATAAAGGGCTAGTTTAGAATTGGAAACCAGTGCTTTTTTCTTTCTTTTCCTCCCTTCCTTCCTTCCTTCCTTCCCTCCTTCCTTCCTTCTTCCCTTCCCTTCCATTCCCCTTCCTTCCTTCCTTGCTTCCCCTCCCTCCCTCCCTTGTTCCCTCCTTCCTTCCTTCTTTCCTTCCTTCCTTCCTTTTTTCCTTCCTTCCCTCCTTCCTTCCTTCCTTCCTTCCTTCCTTCCTTCCTTCCTTCCTTCCCTCCTTCCCTCCTCCCTTCCTTCCTCCCCTCCTTCCTTCCTTCCTCCCTTTCTTTTCTTTTTCAGAAATATGTACTCTATTTCTGAATAACCTATTTTGGAAATCATAGGTTAACTCTTCTAGGTCAATCAAGGAGCAGACAATAGATTAGTGCTTTAATAAATCAAGGGCCTCCACAGAGAATAAACATACATTTATAAAATTATTTTTACTCTCTGATTTCGCTTTCATCCTCCATTTTTGACTGGCCATCTTTTGTCTTCCAAATCTTCCTAGTAATTTCTTTAGACTTTTATAAGTTTTGCTGAAGACTAGTCTTTCCTGTCAATGTGTCAGCTCATTTTTTATTCTGTTCTTATCCTCAGTCCATTGTTTATATTTCCTAAAATTGTGTGCCCTGTGTTTCTGAATTATTTTGTCATAATTTAAAAAAAAGTTGTGTTCCGTTTCTATCATGAACTTGGTAAGGTATAGGTGTGTGGACTCAGAGAAACTTTTTAGAGAAAAGTTATGATTTTATAATGCCTATTAAGAGAAGTCTATCAGTTTGGGCACACAGTAAATAAGAGATTAAATGAATACATGTAAATACATTTGCACTGTGGCATTTGGCTCAAATGCTGAAGAAAGATGATTCTCAATACAACATTTAATGTTGCATATTTTTGCTATTTTTAGCATTTGCTTTCCAAATAGCAACTCGTGTGACTTGTGTGAATGGTAAAAGTAAACAACAAGGGAATTGCAAAGAAGGAAAAACATTGATATTTATGAAAACTAGATGAAAAAATGAGTTTACAGAGATAATGGGGGGGAAGTAGGCGAAAGGGTTACTTTCTTAATTCTTTAGTTTTCATTTTTATGTAGCTCTAATTTTTTAAAATTACACATCTGCCAAAGGTATTAGTATTCTGCTAATGGATTCATTTATTCAATGCCCAAACAACCCCAACTAATTGAATTTGTCTCATCATTTCCAGGATAAACGGTATACCCATGGCCGGGGGTTCATTACCAAGGCCATCAACAGCTGCCACACTTCTTCCCTTGCCACCCCCGAAGACAAGGAGCAAGCCCAACAGATGAATGTGAGTCCTTCATCCAGGCTTTGCACCAAAACAACCAAGGCAGTATATGGGTATTATCATGGTGATAGGTGCTGTAATAGCTAGTGGTAATTGTACATGCAGAGAAAAATATAGGAAGAATAAGCAGTCAAAAAATTACATTATGTAGTTGATGAAATATGAGTCAAATCAAATGCTAAGTAAAGATGGTGGCAGCAATCTAAATAGCAGATCCGTACATTGTCCTTGCAGATAACATTATTTTAACCAATGCCTTGTCGCTAGGATTGTATATACAGTTTATGAAAGTTTGAACTGAATTGGACTTCTGTGAGTAAATATACATTTATGCATCTGTAAGAAAAAGAAATGCAGTTTTATTTATTACATATTACTCGTGACTCCTACATCAACAGCATGTTACATGACTGACCCCTGCACTATTGGAGCCATCTGTTCTGGACTTTCAAGACTCTACTCTGGTTCTATTTCTGCTACTCTGACACCCACTTTTTCATTCTTCACTGACTCTTCTGCCCTCTCTTACTTCTTAGTTAAAAGTCACCACTCCCCTCACAAAAAATACAGATCCTGTAAAACATAATATTTTGCTTTTCACAGCTACAGTTGCCACTGTTCTGATGACTACAAAGTCTGTATATCAAGCCTCAATCATGTATCTCAGCTTCAATCTTCTATTGCTATGATCTCTTCCTTTTGGTTGTCTACCATAATCACAGCCTTAACATGATTTAAAACAAACATCTTTATATGCATGCCACCTACAAATTCAATGTATTCTCCATTTACAAGTTTAGGAATGGCACCAACATTTCTGTCTGCTATGTTCATTAATAATAATTATGATAATAAGAGAAGGAGGAGAAAGAGAAAGGGGAGAAGGAGGAGGAAGAGGAAATATTTATTGAGATCTACAGGTTATCACTAACCAGAAATCCCAAATACTGAAGAATCCTAAGTTTTTTGAGCACCTACATGATGCTAAAAAAAAAATGCTCATTGGAGTATTTCAGATTTCAGATTTTCTAATTAGGAATGCTCAACTTGTACTACATTGTCAGACACTTTGTGGGCATTACTATATTTAATCCTCATAAAAATCCTATAACACAAGGTACTGTCATTACACTCACTGAGATAAGGAAACTGAGGCTCAGAAAGGTTATGGAATTTGCACCAGTCACATGGCAAGTAAGCAGCGAGCCTGGGCTTCATTCTATTCAAAACCCTTACTCTTAATCGTTGTGTTGCAATGCTCCCAGAAAAACTACACTGACACTCACTTTATGACCTGTACCTCTTTATAGCTCATTTCTTTCATATCCTCTTACATGTTTCCATTGCAATGTCCATTTATTTCTTCTTTATTCTTCATTTTGTTACCACTAGACTAGTTCACGGACATCTACAAAGTAAGCATTTTAAATCAGAGATAATCAGCTACTTGGAGTCTCCTACACGATCGTGGTAGTAAGCAAAACCTAGGCAGGCAGAACTCCATTGTGAATTCCATGGTTATTCAAGATAACATTGGTTCCATTTTATTTACCTGCATAGGCCAAGAGAACAGACTGCTCTGCCAGCAGCATGGGGCAGGCGGTTGTGTAGATCAAGGAAAGCATGTTGATGAATTCCATGTCATCTTCATTGTCTCTTCGTTCTAGGATCCCAAAATAAAACTACAAATCAAAAATGAATAGTTCGATGAACAATTTGATTCATTAGTATGAACGAATGCTTGGATGAGAGTGATTTGGGCCCCTTGGCATGGACCCCAGTGGAATCTATTTCTCATGAGTCAGATACTCTGGGCACCTACTGAGTTTCGGCAAAACTTTAGTTTCTCCCCAGGGACAAGCAAATCAATCAAATACGAAAGATCTTACTAAGTGGACAGATGGTAGAATTTCAGAGGAAAAACAAAATTCTTCATTTTATCAATTAGAACTCTCATTAGAAAAAGTGGTTACTGAAATAAGCCGGATTTTTTTTTAATTTTAGCAAAGTTTAGGCCAATAGTTTCAATTTTACATTTCTACAAATTCTCTCACCTAAAGAAAAATGTACCTACACATAGGAATAAAAAAAGATATTTCAGTACAGCCTCTCTAAGCAAAAATCACAAGTAACTAACCCCATTGTATTTTACCTATTTTAATGCAATTGTTCTATATGGTTTCGTAGCAAAAAGACTTTCTGAGCCTGATAGTCAGCATATTGCGATCCTGGAATGAGCCTCTGTATCATCTGGTCACGGAAGTACGTGGTATGCAAGAAGCCCCGGAGGCTATCCTATCCAAAGCTGTAGAGATTGAGGAGCAAACCAAACGGCTTCTAGAGGGCATGGAGCTGATAGTCAGCCAGGTGAGCAGCCTCCTGGTGCTTCTTTGTTTTTCTCATTAATATAAGCGGTGACCTCTGTGATGATAAATATTTCCCTTTGAAAGAAGGAAATTTAGGCATTCCATATTATAGACCGCTATTAAATAAAGCAAGAGCCTAGTCATTCATAGTCATAAATTTACATACATGTAAATGAATCTTAGAATGCTGTTTGACAGGTGTCATTTTCCCTACACCTACACGCAAAACTACAAAAGACTTGCCCCTTCCTGAGGACAAGAAGTTAAGTGTTTTCAAGGGAGTGAAAACTAGAGAATAGAATCTGCAAGATACATGCTTTCTGCAGGGTATCCCAGGACACCCACTATTGAAAATTCTTTCTCTTTTCTCCCCTCGCCAGAGGATGAGAGTGGGAAGGGAGAAAGAAGAAAACCAAAATCAGATTGGATGGGCCCTCAGCCACTCACCCCGATCTGCTGCACAGACTTGTCAGGGAGGAGCAGATATTAACATGACAAGACAATGACATCAGTGCACACAGGTTGCATTGATTTCAGGAGGTCCCACAAGCACGAGATTGCAGGGAGTCACAAAAGAAGGAGATATACCTTTTCTGGAATGTCTTCATTTTGTAATTTATAGAAAGTTGTCTCATTCTAAATTTTGTTTTTTCTTGGGACTCCAAAGTCAAAACTCATGTCATTGTACTTAATCTCCCCCAAATAATCTGTCATATTTAGATTGTGTTAGTATTTGCAATAGATATCTCCATTCAGATGGGATAATTTCAACATTAGTGAGATAATACCTAAACAGCTTCTGAGGTTTTCAGGGATAATGTACCATCTAAAGAAAAATATATGATTATAGGAATAATAACAGGAACAATTTTGTATTTCTCTTTTTGTGTACTAAGTACATGTTATCATGTATCATTTTGGTTATTTTCATGCGAGAAAAATATGTCCAAAACAAACACAAAGCACATTTTAACCTTGGAATGTGTGAAATAAATACCTTGATTTTCCAGTTATTTTCTTCATTACTGTAAACCTCATTTCTGAGGTCACTAATTTGTTCTATAGTACTTCATTTTCTGTTCTTTTTTCTCTACCACTTATTTAAGTATTCTTGTTCATATCATTATCCCTTACACAGTAAATTTTGTCTTAGGGCTCAAGTACCAAAAATTAAAAATAAAAACATAAAGCCAGTCAATGAATACACACACGCACACACACGCGCACGCACACACACATGCACACACACGCGCACGCACACACACGCGCGCGCACACACGCACACACACGCGCACGCGCATACACACACACACACTTTAAATTCCAATAGGGAATCCCAGATTTGAAAAATATTCTCACTTTGTAGGAAAAGGTTTAGCAGATCGGCGTCTACATCCAGATATATACCTAATAACTCTCCAAACTAGCTGACATCCCTAAAGTTGCTAAAATGGTTACTTGGTCTCTAAGACCTCTGGGCTTTCCTGGTTTGCAAAGGCTTATAGAGTGTGAAGAAACATAGCATGCCCTCTGTTGTGCTGTTCAGCCTCCTTTTGTTATCACAGCCATGCCCCCAACCCTACCACACAGCCCTCACCACTGAAGGGTTGCTGCCAGCAACCCCCTGACCTTTTTTTTTTTAGACAAGTTCTCACTGTGTCACCTATGCTGGAGTGTAGTGGTGTCATCTCGGCTCACCACAATCTCTGCCTCCTGGGTTCAAGCGATCCTCATGCCTCAGCCTCCCAAGTAGCTGGGACAACAGGCGTGCACCAATAGGCACGGCTGATTTTTGTATGTTTTTGTAGAGATGGGATTTCACCATGTTGGCCAGGCTGGTCTTGAACTCCTGACCTCAAGTGATCCACCTGCCTCTGCCTCCCAAAATGCGTGAACCAGTGTAAGCCACCACACCCGGCCTGTACCCTTTCCTTGTAGGTGCTTTTCCCGGCACCTCCCAGCCCAGGGACCTCAAAAGAAAGCAATTGTTTCCCCTAGAAATTTGAGGAAATGAAAATCTCCTGACTATGTAAGCAGCTTTTCTTAGTCATGGTCATCACTAAATTATCTGTACCCCAAAGCATCAAGTGTGAGTACAATCTTCATCTTTTTTAAAGTTTTTGGAACATACACTAGATAGGCAATAGATTGAGTTCAAAGCAGGAAGAAAATAAATGATGTCAGGAAGAATAAAGCACAAGGGATACATCAGGGACAAGACTGGAGAAATGAAATAGTTCCTCAAGTGAGAGCACCGAAGCTAGCTACTCCATTGTCTCTTCGTCAAATCTATGTCAATATTTACATAGTACCTTTCCAGTTCTTCATCTGTCTACTCCTGCAAAAACATACTTCATCTGTGATCCCATAGATGTCAGAGAACCTAAACAGGTATTCTGCTTCTAGTTTTTAGATTAATAGGTTTCTGATACACTGGCCCAGATATACAAAAATCATTGCCTTTGTCTAAAACTTTGCATTCATATCTCATTCTCAATTCTTAATTCAACAGTTAGAAAGAACAAGGACATACAAATACTAATAATATGAAGAATAAGTCACTCTTTTTTTGTGTGATTAGGTTCATCCTGAAACCAAAGAAAATGAGATCTACCCTGTCTGGTCGGGACTTCCATCCCTGCAGATGGCTGATGAAGAGTCTCGCCTTTCTGCTTATTATAACCTGCTCCACTGCCTACGCAGGGATTCACATAAAATCGACAATTATCTCAAGCTCCTGAAGTGCCGAATCATCCACAACAACAACTGCTAAGCCCACATCCATTTCATCTATTTCTGAGAAGGTCCTTAATGATCCGTTCCATTGCAAGCTTCTTTTAGTTGTATCTCTTTTGAATCCATGCTTGGGTGTAACAGGTCTCCTCTTAAAAAATAAAAACTGACTCCTTAGAGACATCAAAATCTAAAATGCCGATTTGTCAAAGTTTCTTCTCTTCATTTAATAGAAAATCAAAAGAAAATCTATCACTCCCATTAAGAAGTTCTTATCAGAATGTGTCATAAACAACAGAAGCTAGCCTTGCACATAAGACAATTAACAGCTTACTTTAAAATCACAGTAGATTATTGTGGGTCAAGTTATTAGAATCGAAGAGTTAGATTATTAATCATGCTAGTCATTCTACAAAGAAGATTGAATTCTCTGGATTCTTTATGAAAGCAGGCATGTTCTGTCAGTTAACTTTCAGTGTTATGACAGACAATATAAGTACTGTGCAACTGCAAAACCTCCAAATAGTATGGAGTTTACTGAGCAGTCTAAAAATTGTTAGGATATAAACATGACATGGATTTCTCTTTTTCTAATAGCTATGTTCAATCATTCTCTACTAAATTCCCATCTCTTTTGCATTATCTTGCACACATTTCATGTTCTAGTAATTCTGAGTCTAACAAGTCTGGTCCAGTCAGGTTTCAACTCCATGTTTAAGTTATTTAATGCTTTTCTCTCCCCCTGTGTTGGCTCAAAGGACCTAACAGAGAAAGCAGATGTGGTCAGTTCCTGCAACTTTTCTTCCGCCTCTCTCTTCTGGATCTCCATTCCTCTGGCTGTGTTGGAATGGGATAGAGGACTAGCAGAGAAGAAAAAGTTCATACATCACTGACTTAGGTAGTACTATCGTACCCTTCCCCTTGTTGACAGGGACCGACCTTGGATTTTCTCTGAGTAGTGGGTGTCTTTCTAGTGGAATTGATTTATAATTTCCAAGATACCAACCAGTGAGGACACCACACAGTATAGTTTCTTTCCCAGGGGAAATGCTCTGGCTTGATTCTCCTATTCGCCCCATAGCTCTGCCATCCGTAGCATTCTCCACGGCCTCTGCTATTGCTCCCCTCATCCTGCAGGAACTCTGTTGAAGAAAACTGGCATGAGGTCAGCTATGTGTCAACTGCCCCATAGGAAACTCATGCATCGTAACCTCTCCAAGTAATGAAGTAGCAATAGGACTAGGTCATGGCTGACCCCTTCCCGGGGTCTCTACCAATTCCCTTCTCCCATTGACATAGACACAGAGTAGATCAGAAGTTGGATTCATTAGCAGACATTCACCTCAGGAATGAGATGCTAGTCTTTCCTTCTTTTAAACCTAGTGAGTAATTATCTCTATTAGCAATTATCTTGGAGAGTCAACCTCACAAACATTCTCTACTAGGTCACTGAATTATAACACCCTCCTAAAATACCTAATCTTCTATTTATTGAGTATGGAGAGAGGTGACTGGATGAGGGTCCCTAAATTTGTTCAGTGGCCTCTAAAGAACCTAAAATGAGGGCTAACCTCATTGCAAGCTCCCCTTAGAAGGCGGTGGTATTGTCAGGCTGGTTTTGCAGCAGCTTCTGGGCTTTAGCAGGGATTTCTAGAAAATAGACAATGGAAAACATCACTTTCAACTTTCTGATAGACATTAAATAAAAAGGTGAGGGGGTAGAACAAAGAGGAAGGGAGAGAGAAGGGAGGAAAGATAAGAAGAAGAAAAATGAACAAAAGGTTTGGGTCTTTAAGATGTTATTAGAATACTGCTCTTGGTGAAGACCTAAATCTCCCTTAATTTTTATACCATAAAAGCAAATATTATTTCATATACTCCTTTCGCTTCCCTTTTCTTTCTTCCTTTCCTGAAACTCTCGTTTGTATTAGGAGCATTCTTTGCCCTTACCAATTGAGTGGCTATAGCTCTAGAGATAAGCAACTTGGCATGTCTTCAGATCAGAATTCAAGGCAATTTTCCACCTCTCTTCAGAGAAAACTTTCCCACGCTCATAGGAACACTACCCCAACCTCCCCCCACCCCCCCAAAAAAATATCTTTCCTCATAGCCAGGGTTGTTTTTATCGGAATCCTTCCTGCCCCTGCTTCCAGCTGTGATGAACCAAACCTTTCAGAATACAGCAGAATACTCTGCTCCAAACCAATCCTATCAACCCCTCCCTTTCCTCCTAAATGCATGCAAAATGTCAGCTTGCTCCTATTTCAGCCTTCTTCTCGCAAAAAGCAAAAGAGCACAGGAAAACCTGTATATACTTTATTTCTAAGTCATTTGTTGAAAACATCTAATCCTATTATGTTACTCACTTAGGTTCCTTCTCTTCAATTTCTAGCTATTTCCAACAGTGAGGATGGGTTTTATCAGGGGTAAAATTTGGCAATAAATGGACATACAATTATAAGAAATATAAGGTAACCACTAACCATATGCAACTTCATGTACTCCTCCTTACTTAAGTGTTTATTCCAAGCACATATTTAGAGCTCTGGTAAACCACTGATGGGGTGATAGTAAAAGGCCTCGCCCTGGTTGGCTATGACATATAAACTAAATACTGTAGTTTTCAGATAAGATTGAGCGGAGCAATGGGTGTTCTGTACAGTCAGCAAAGGGTAGCAGGAAGAGGATATTTGGGAAGAATATAACAATCACATCTCTTCCAACCAGAGGGAGTTTGTTTTTTTTCTTCTTCTGTGGATTTCCATGCAAGATTACATTTGATGAAATGGCCCTGCTATGGCAAGAACAGCAGTGGTTAAAAAAAAAAACAAAAAAGAAACAAAAAACACCAAACACCCTTGAAAGGTACTGATCTCATAGATTAATAAATCACTTGCTATGGGTACTACAAGGTCTAAAAGAAAAGTAAGAAAAATCTATCTTCTAGGAGTTTGCTCTCAAGTTGTGGAGAAAGAGGGTTATCTAAATGTGAAAATTACTATGCTACATGGTAGAGGAAATGATATGATAGGTGATGCTAAACAAAGTGCTACAGTGACTCAAAGAACAGCTGGGAGACATGGATGTGACAACAAGGAAGTTTTTTTTGTTTTTGTTTTTGAGACGGAGTCTTGTTCTATCTCCCAGGCTGGAGTACAGCGGCGTGATCTTGGCTCACTGCAAGCCCTGCCTCCCAGGTTCAAGCGATTCTCCTGCCTCAGCCCCCCCCAGGTAGCTGGGATTACAGGCACCTGCCACCACACCCGGCTAAATTTTGTATTTTTAGTAGAGACAGGGTTTCACCATGTTAGCCAGGATGGTCTCGAACTCCTGACCTCAAATGATCTGCCCACCTTGGCCTCCCAAAGTGCTGGGATTACAGGTGTGAGCCACCGTGCCTGGCCACAAGGAAGTGTTTCTGAAGTGGCATGGCTGTGATGGCTTTGCGACGAAGTTTTGAAGCCTTGATGGGATACTAAAAGGCAAAAATAGGAAGACAGCCTATCTGCCAATTAACTTACGGCATTTTATGATGTAGGTTTCCCTATGGCCCGAACAAAGGAACTGAGATGTTACTACATATAGCATTATAAAGTATCACTAATAATAAGTAAGTCTGGCTGAAACATAAGAAATGTTCATTTTTAAACAAACATTTTTTAATAGCTCTCATTATTATGTGCTAGACACATTGCTGTAGGGTAATAATGGGGGAAAACCTGGTAGGATTGTTTATGCTTTGAGGAGAATCATTCATGCCAATTTGGAGAGTTTGTACTTTTTCTGCCAGACAACAAGAAAACAGCAAATTTTAATACAAGAGAGCAATATGTGCAGAATTGGAAAATAGAAATAATAATCTAGTTTGGGAGGTTGTGGGAGTGTGAGACAGGCAGAGGAAAAAATAAGAGGTCCAGAAACAAGTCGAAATAATATCATGATACTCTAAGAGAAAATCAAAAAGGGCTCTGCCAAGAGGAAAGAAGTAAAGCCAGGCACAGTGGCTCATGCCTGTAATCCCAACACTTTGGGAGGCTGAGGCGGGCGGATCACCTGAGGGCGGGAGTTCAAGACCAGCCTGACCAACATGGAGAAACCCCATCTCTACTAAAAATACAAAATTAGCCAGGTGTGGTGGCGCGTGCCTGTAGTCCCAGCTACTCAGGAGGTTGAGGCAGGAGAATTGCTTCAACCTGGGGGGCGGAGGTTGCAGTGAGCCGAGATCTCACCATTGCACTCCAGCCTGGGCAAAAAGAGCAAAACTCCATCTAAAAAAAAAAAAAAGTAAAGGACATGGGCCATATAGAAACATCAATAGGCCTGGACTATATGGAGGACATGATATAGATAGAAGAGTCAAACAGACACCCAAGAGCCACAAATGATGGGAAAGTCAGAGAGAAGAGAGGATGAGGTCAATGTTCTTTCCAAATGCATACAAACTTTGTTTTCCTGTATTTCATTGAATTTGGACCAGAAAAAAATCATCAAAAATTATTTAAGCAAACCAGAGAAATGATTATATTCAAGAACCTCTGCAAGATTATATAAGATAGAAGAACAAAAGGATTTATACTTCCTAGTAATCATAATCATTGTCTCCTTTAACACTTAAATAAGACATACTTTGTAAAGCAGAGTGGATGAATAAAAATAAAATAAAAGCAATTTACTTACAGAGCCAACCCTAAACAAAATATGAATAATGCTCCCCTTACATTTGTCTGCTTTCTCCGAGAGTTTCTCATTTCTTTCTTCTGAATCCATCCATCCTTGCTTATTTCTTTTTTTCTGAATCCAACCTTGCTTATTGTTCCTTCATTGCCTTGCTCTCAGCAGATGGTCAATTAGTCACTAATTAAATACATATTTTAAAAGTCCACTTCTAAAGTAAATTCATACTTAGGGGCCATTGAAACTAAAAAGCTTCCTAATCCCTTGAACAGAAATCCCTAATAGTGAAATGACTTCTCTTCAACATCTTTCCAAAATGCTCAGGAGCAGCCAGGTACAACTTTTCTACTTCTACATCTTCTGCAATGATTATCATTTTCTTGGATAGTAAAGACAGGAAACACAAATGAAGCCACGAAAGACATTTAGAAAGCAATGCATGATCCATATTTTAAAGACACACGCACAGTTGCATGACATACAACCGTGATGGGAACCAGGTGAGCCTAATCAGGAGGGGCTTCTTTGAGGAAGGCGCTATATGAATTGGCACTGAGAAGTCTTATTCAACTCAACTGTTAAAAATAACTCTCTGATTGTAAGATTTATTTAATTGCACTAAGTCAAAAAACTAATGTATTTTGTACAAAAAAAAATCAAGAATACTGTGTTCTTAAAGGCACATTCTAGTCAGCATATGGCATCTAAAAAAATCTCCAAATGTAGTTTATGTTTATGCTGACAAAGAGAACAGAATATCTTAACCTTGGGACATTAACCGCAGAGCACTTTAGCTGTAATGCTAATAAAAACCACTAAGGCCTAAAACTTGTAAGCCAGCCCAGGACCCTGCTATTGGTCATTTAACAAATACATAGTTAATCATCACTTTATTCAGGCACTGTTGCAGGTGCTTGGTTTACATCAATGAGCCGATGAAGACACATGACCTCATGGAATTTACATTCTAGCTGGGAGAAGACAGGCAACCCACAATAAACATTAATACTAGTTCGTTGTATAGTATGTTAGCAGGTGAATCACGCTATAGAAAAAAGAAAGTACGATAAGGAGCTTTAGGCGCACAGGTGGAAAAAGGGAAGAGATTTTAAAAGATAGATTAGAACCTACTGAGAGCAGTAGCAGCCGGCTTTCCTCCATTAAATCATGCAAACCTGTGCTCCCTTGCATCCCAGATCCAAGTTTTGTCCTGAGCTGCCAGATTTCTTTCTCTTCCACACGCTTTCAAAAACATTTCTTCCTCTGAGGTTCTGAGATTGAAATGCGTTATTCAAACATATCCATACATGAATATTGTGAACATTCTGCCTCTCTTCAGTTTAAGATTTTGTAAATTATTCTGGGAAGAATGCCCCCAAATTAAGTACTCTTTTATGCAGTGAATTTTGAAAATCTTCTGTTGCCTGAAGCATTAATCTCCAAACTATTTTGATTTTACAGCACCCTATCTGTGCCCAAATTTATATAATTTTTAAATTTTATATATGCATTGCTGTTATAGTATGTTATAGCATTTAAAATACACACAAAATATAAGTGAAAGGACACTGAGATAAAAAATAACTAGAAATAGAAATGCTAATATTTTCTTTTCAAAGGATTGAGAACACTCACTTTTAAGGCCTCTGGGCTAATGGATTAGGTATCCATACACATACTTGCAGCACATTTGTTTAGCAACCATAATAAAACAATTTATTTTGTGTATAATTTAAATTGAAACTCTCATAATACCACAAGGGGCTAGAAATAAAATTATATGTGAATATATCTCTTTGTATGCATATATAAAATTTTGTAGGCTCAATTAAGTTATCATCATTAACCCTTTTATCAGTCCATCATCAATTCATCTACTGCTAGACAATAATCCAAATTTCACAATAGATTCCTTTTCTTCAGGGGTTTAAACCTCAAGGCACACTGAAAGCAAAGCAATGGCCTACAAACAAAAACAAAAATTACCGTGGTTATCATTACACATATCTATTTATATAGAGAATGAATGAAGAAATACAAAAGGCTGAAATTTGGGGAAGGGGGAAGAAAGCATACTAACTCAGAGATAGATATGTATGCCTCTAGAGTAGTTTCTCAGCTTTCCTTTGCCTCCAGTGAAAGAGGGCTTCATAGCTCCCATCCCCTTCTGCCTGCTGTGCAGTCTTTCTCATTTTCCTCCACATCTTCCTTCATTGAAACGTCTTCCCTTGGTTTAAAATAGACCCTAGGCTTCCAATCCAGGCAAGATGGTGTACACCTATTTGTACCCACTCCTCACCCTGAAAATAGCAAGAAGCAAATAAAGGAGAACTCTGGTTATTGGTAAGAAGAAGGTGAGCTGGTTTGGGACCCAATGACTAGAGGAGCAACACCCTGTAGAACAAAGTGACCCAGTAGAACAAAGTGACCCAAGGCCAGCATTTTCCTTCAACCCAGCACCAGAAAGCAGCCTTGGTAAGGCCACACCTCCCACAATGGAACTGGAGCCCCTGAGAAAGCACAAGCCAAACCAGGAAGAATCATCAAGGGGGATGGATGGGGAGAAGCACTCTCCTTCCAGTGGGGAGAGACCAAGGTTGCCCCATAGCACCTGCAGGAAACTCCACACATGCAGTCTCATCCTGGAGCCTCTTTGCCTCTGAGGGCCTGTGACATCCTCCAGAGGGTGCCTTCAAGGGGGTCATACCAAGTGACCCAGCCTGGGAAATACTCTGGCCCTCAAAGAAGAGAAGATGTTGTCAGAATAAGTATTTTCTAGGGAAGCCGCCACAAGCCTGGAATTCCCATCCATACTGGGATACCAGGATGAGTGGGTGAAACCAGGAGGAGGGACCCAGACACAGCAGGCAGCAGGACCTGCAAAGTCTCTTCGTCTCCTAGGCCTAATACTCCCCTCCTCTGACCAGAGATCCTGGGGCAACTAGGGGCACAGTAGAGAGATCATTCCGTAAGATCTGGTCAGGGAGCCTCTTTCTACCTGTAGGCCTGGGACTGCCTTCTCTCACCTAGGAACACCCAGTGACCCAGTCTGGAGAAACCCCTTCTGCAGGAACTAGTGTGAGCCCAAGAAACATCAGGTAAGTCAAACAGACCAAAATAACACACCAAAGGCTTTAAAAATGAAACCATCATTGGAACCACAACCCACATAGTAGCCTAAGAACTGCATGTTAAATATAGACAGGATGAGTTCCTGCTGAAAGAAAAGATTTAGGTAAGATCCCAGAGACTTTTAACATAAGACAAAATATTCAGACAACAAGTAAAACGACTTGTTATATTGGAACCAAAATCTAAAATTTGAATGAGAAAAGACAACCAACCGATGCCAACACCAAAATTAATCAGATGTTGTAATTATCTGACAAGAATTTTAAAGCAGCTATCATAAAAAAAAAAACCTCAACGTGAATTACAAATTCTCTGGAAACAATTGAAAAAATTTTGTTAAAGAAATAGATGTTTAAATAGCAAAGACATGGGATCAACACAATGCCCATCAATGACAGACTGGATAAAGAAAATGCGGTACATAAACATCATGGAATACTATGCAGCCATAAAAAGGAATGAGATCATGTCCTTTGCAGGGATGTGGATGGAGCTGGAGGCCATTATCCTCAGCAAACTAACACAGGAATAGAAAACCAAGCATGTTCTCACTTATAAGTGGGTGCTGAAAAATGAGAACATATGGATACAGGGAGGGGAACAACATACAATGGGGTTTGCTGAGGGGCCAGGGAGGGAAAGCATCAGGATAAATAGCTAATGCATGAGGGGCTTAATACCTGGGTGACAGATTGATAAGTGTGTCACTATGGCACACATTTACCTATATAACAAACCTGCACGTCCTGCACATGTATCCCAGGACTTAAAATTAAATTAAATTAAAAAAAAAGAAATAGATGTTTAAAAGAGAACTGGATGGAAATTATAGAAATAAAAAAATACAACAAAAAGCACTTGTTGGATGGGCATAATCGTAGAGTGGAGATCATGGAGCACAGAATAAGTGAACTTTAGGACAGATCAACAGAATTCATTCAGTCTGAACAACAGCGAGAATATAGACTTAGAAAAATGAACAGAGCTGTAGGGACCTATGGGACAGCAATAAAAAAATTCAACAATTACATCATCACATTCCAAAATGAAAAGAGGAGAAAGAATGGAGCTGAAAGACTACTCCAAGAAATAATGACTGAAAACTTTCTAAATTTGGAAAAAGACACAAACCTGCAGATTCAACAAGCTCAACATTTCAAGTAGGATAAACCCAAAGACACACATTAAATTTCAGGAAATGAAAGGCATAGAAAAAAGTCTTGAAAGCAGCCACAGAGAAATGATGATTTACCTACAGGAGAATGCAAATTCAAATGTCAGTGAATTTTTCTTCTGAAACCATGGAGGCTCTAAGAAAGTGACAAATGCTCAAAGAGAAGAACTATCACAAATTCTATAAATAAACTCTCCTTCAAGAATGAAGGAAAAATAAAAGCATTCTCAGATGAAGGAAAAAGTAAAAGACTTTGTTGCTAGCAGATCTAGTCTTAAAATTGGCCAAATAAATGCTTCAAACGGAAAGGAGAGGATAAAACGAAGAACCTTGGAACATCAGGAGAAAAGAAAATAATAGAAAATGACAAAATATGAGTATATTTAATAGACTATGAAGTTTCTTCATGAGTTTTATAAATCATGTTTAATGATTGAAATAAAAATTAGAATACCATATGATACTCACAAGAACTATATTTAAATCTGGGGAAGGGAAAGAGCTCGAAATGGAAATGAAGATTTCACACTCCAGTAAAGGCGGCAAATTGTTGATACCAGTAGGCTGTGAAAAGTCATATGTGTCTATTGTAATGCCCAAAGGTAGAGACTCAAAAGCACTGTAAATAAATCAAGATGGAATCCTAACAAAAAAAATTCAAGTAACCCAGGAAGTAAAGAAAAGAGAAACATGGAAACAAGAACCAGAAGAACAAACAGAAAACAAATAATAAAAATGGAAGACTTAAGCATTAACATATATCATTAGTTATGTGAAATAGAAATGGTCTAATTAAAACACAATTAAACCAATTAAATCAACCAATTAAACACACAAAGCTTAGCAGAGTGAATTTAAAAATACAAGACAATTATATATTGTTTCACAGAAACTCACCTCAAATGTAATAACATAGGTAGATTGACAATAAAAGGATTTTAAAAAAAGGTATACCATGCAAACATTTGTTTAAAAGCAGGAGTAGCTATATTAATATCTAATAAAGTAGACATCAAAGCAAAGAAAATTGCCAGAGATAAAGAGAGACATAGGACATTACATAAGGATAAAAAGGTCAATAAATCAGGAAGACATAATAATCCTAAATAGGTACACACCAAACAACAGAGCCTCAAAATACATGAAGCAAAAACTCAGAGCTGAAAGGAGAAATAAACAAATCCACAATTACAGTTAGGGTCTTCAACATCCCTCTCTCAGAAACTGATAGAACCACTTGGCAGAAAATCAGCAAAAATATAGAGGGTCTGAATAACAATCAAACAACAGGGCCCAAATGACACATACAGAACACAATGGCAAAATACATTTTTTTTCAAGTGCTCATGTAACATTCACAAAGATACAGCATATCCCAATCCATAGAACAAAGTTCAACAAATGTAAAAGTATTGAAATTATAAACAGTGTGTTCTCTGACTATAACAGAAGGAAACCAGAAATCAATAATATAAAAATGAGAAAATCTTTAAATATATGTAAATTAAACAATACACTTCTAAATGGTGGCTCATGCCTGTAATCCCAGCACTTTGGGAGGCCGAGGTGGGTGGATCACTTGAGGTCAGGAGTTCGAGGCCAGCCTGGCCAACATGATGAAACCCCATCTCTACTAAAAATACCAAAATTAGCCAGGTGTGGTGTTGGTGCCAGCCTGGGCAATAAAGTAAGACTCAGTAAAAAAAAAAAAAAAAAAATCAATGGGTCAAAAAGGAGGTCTCAAAGGAAATAAAAAATACGTAAAGCTAAATAAAAGTTAAAACAGCATATCAAAATTTGTGGAATGCAGCTAAAGCAGTGCTGAAAAGGAAATTCATAGCACTAACTGGAAACAAGGAAAGGTCTGAAATCAATAATCAAAATTCCTTTCTCAAGAAACTAGAAAAAAAAAAGAGAGAGAAACTAGGAAGAGAAGAGAAAAAGAATAGCCAAAGCAATCCTAAGCAAAAAGAACAAAGCCAGAGACATCACATTACCTAACTTCAAACTATACTATAAGGCAGCAGGTCCCCAACTTTTTGGCACCAGTGACTGGTTGTGTGTAAGACAAGTGGGTGGGGATGGCTTCAGGATGTTACTGTTCCACCTCAGATCATCAGGCATTAGTTGGATTCTCATAAGGAGTGTGCAACCTAGATTCCTCGCATGTGCAATTCACAATAGGGTTTGCGCTCCAATGAGAACCTAATGCCCCTGCTGATTTGACAGGAGGTGGACCCCAGGTGATAGTGCTTGCCTGCTGCTCATCTCCTGCTGTGCAGCCCGATTCCTAACGGGCCATGGACAGATACCTGTCCGCAGGTCAGGGACGCCTGCACTAAGGCTATAGTAACCAAAACAGCACAGTACTACTACAAAAATAGACACTTAGAAAAATGGAACAGTATAGAGAACCCAGAAATAAAGGCACACACCTACAGCCATCTAATCTTTGACAAAGTTGATTTTAAAAAAGCAATGGGGAAAGGAGTATTCAATAAATGGTGCTGAGATAGCTGGCTGCCCATATGCAAAAGAATGAAACTGGACCCCTACTTTTTACCACACACAAAATTTACACATACATATACCATATGCAAAAATTAACTCAAGATGGTTTAAAGATTTAAATGTCAGACCTCAAACTGTAAGAATCCTACACAAATTGTGAACATGGGCCTTGGGAAAGAACTTATAAGTCATCAAAAGCAATTGTAACAAAAACAAAAAATTCACAAGTGGGACCCAATTAAACTAAATAGCTTCTGCACAGCAAAAAATAAAAACAAAAAAAAAACTATCAACAGAGTGAACAGATAACCTACAGAATGGGAGAAAATATATGCAAATTATGCATCTGACAAAGGTCTAATATCCAGAATCTATAAGAAGTTTAAATTAACAAGCAAAAAGCAACCCCATTTAAAAAATAGGCAGTAGACGTGAACAGACACTTCTTAAAAGAAGACACACAAGTAGCCAACAAACAGATGAAAACATGCTCATCATCACTAATCATCAGAGAAATGCAAATCAAAACCACAATGAGATACCATCTCACACCAGAATGGCTACTATTGAAAAGCCAATAAACAATAGATGATGGCAAGGCTGCAGAGATAAGGGAACACTTAGACGGTGTTGGTGTTGGTGGGAATGTAAACTAGTTCAGTCACTGTGGAAAGTAGTTTGGAGATTTCTCAAAAAACTCAAAACAGAACCTAGCATTTGACCCAGAAATCCCATAACAGGGTATATATCCAAAAGAAAACAAATTGTTCTACCAAAAATACACACGCACTCGTGTGTTCACTGTAGCACTATTTACAATAGCAGAGGCATGGAATCAACCTAAGTGCCCATCAACAGTGGATTGGATAAAGAAAAGGTGGTGCATATACATCGTGGAATACTATAGACCCATAAAAAAGAACAAAATCATGTTCTTTGAAGCAACATGGATGCAGCTAGAGGCCACTGTATTAAGCAAATTAACACAGGAATAGAAACCTAAATACTGTGTGTTCTCATTTGTAAGTGGGAGCTAAATATTGGGTACTCATAGATATAAAGATGGCAACAATAGACACTCGGGACTACTAAAGGGGAGAGAAACAGAGGAGGGCAAGGGCTGAAAAACGAACTGTTGGGTGGTATTCTCAGTGCTTGGATGATGGGATCATTTGTACCCCAAACCTCAGAATCATACAATATACCCAGGTAACCAACTTGCATATCTACCCTCTCAGTCTACAATAAAAGTTGAAAAGGACAAAAAATAATAATAAAAACAAGAGTAGAGATCCATAAATTTGAAAATAGGAAAATACAGAAAATCATTAAAAAACGGGTTCTTTGAAAAAATCAATAAAATTCACAAATCTTTAGCAAGACTGACAAAACAAAATGGAGGAGACACAAGTCGCCAATCTTAGGAATGAAATAGAGGGTATCACTACAGATCTCACCGCCATTTAAAAAGTTATCAAGAAAATATGACAATTTTATACTCATAAGTCAGACAAATTAGAAAAAAAAAGAAGCAGTTCCTCAAAACTTGCAAATTACCACAACTCAACCAAGAAGAAATAGATAATCTGAATAGTCCTTTAACCATTAACAAAATTGAAGTTATGATATAAAAGTTCCTGGAAAAAAATATTCAGTTCCAGATGCTTTTACTGGAGAATTCTACCAAACATTTAAAGAAGTACTACTGTCTTTTCTTTTTTTTTTTTTTTTTTCTGAGGCAGAGTCTCATTTTTTTGCCCAAGCTGGAGTGCAGTGGCATGATCTCGGCTCACTGCAACCTCCGCCTCCCAGGCTCAAGGTATTCTCCTGCCTCAGCCTCCTGAGTAGCTAGGATTACAGGCATGTGCCACCATGCCCAGCCAATGTTTTGGATTTTTTTAGTAGACACGGGTTTTGCCACGTTGGCCAGGCTATTCTTAACTCCTGACCTCAAGTAATCCACCCACCTCAGCCACCCAAAGTGCTGGAATTATAAGCAGGAGCCACTGCGCCCAGCCTAATGTCAATTTTATACCACCTCTTTGAGAAAATAGAAGTAAAGGGAACAGTTCCTAACTAATGTGGTGAGGCTAGTATTGTTCTGATAATAAAAACAAACAAAAGTAGTGAAAAAAAAAGAAAACTACACGCCAATATCTCTCATAAATTTAGATACAAATGTTTTCAGTCTCACACACAGTAAACGGAATCCAACAATGCATACACATAGATCCTGAACATAGACGTCTGGTCACACTACGTATCTATTCAAAAGGTTTAAATAAGTCAGTGATACAGTCAGTAGGGGACCTAGTAAAAATATTATCATTGCAGCAATATGATAACAGATACCAAAGTCTAGATCAAAGCAATTTTTTTAGTTTACTTTTTCCATTAAAGTTAATCATGCCAAGAGTCATTCTAAATGTCTATCGAAAATTCATCACTACTTTTTATAGGATGGAAAAACATTTCTATAGCATAAAATTATGAATGTACTTGATGCTTTCTATTTGCCCCTCCAGAACTATCCAATTCTTTTCTATTAAGATCTGGGTTTTTACAGGCTGAACTTACCAGACTAGATCCACCTGGCTCCCCTGGCGTCTGGCTTCCACTTGAGTTTAGCCAATGGTTGGCACTAGCAAAAGATCAGAGAATCAGGAAAGAGATTCATATATTTATTCTCTCTTCTGACTCCTTTCCTACTGGAAAGTAGCCAAGTTTCTCCACCAAAGCCCAGAGCTCTGGTTGGAGACCCTCTCCTATAGCTACAAGCAAGCTAGTAATAATACAGATTCCAATATCTACTTCTCTCTTTGCTCCTGCAGGCCCAAAGGTGCTAAGATCTCCCTGCTCTTACTGGTCTCAAAGGAATCTTTGCCATTCCTTATGGGTTACCCTGAACTCTGACTACAGTTTCTAACTAGCCCCTTGAGCTCTAACTAGCTCATTAGGCTCTCTTTATTTTCTTCATTGGAGTGCGCCATCTTGTTTTTGATGATGTAGATGCCTACAGAACTACTAAATGATGATGGCCCCTCAGGAAACTGTCACTAATGTGCCTTCAGTAGAAGGGTGGCATCTTTCTTCCTGACCCCAAAATCATAAACACAAAAACATCCACAGGTATCACAGGATCAGCTAAAAATAAGTACAAAAAAATGATTCCAATATTTTTCTTTACTTTTTATATTATTTTGTATAAATTTTAGCCGATTCCCTTGGCATTAAAAAAAATGAGTTCCTTAGAGATAATTGTTCAGTGGAATTTATTGGATATTTAGAAAAGAACCCTAGAAATCAACTAGATAAACTTCCCATTTTAGAGATCTACACAAAGAAATCCGAAAATGAATGTCATTTATCTAAGCTCATAAAGCCAGATGGCAAAAGAAGAAATGAAAACTAAGTTTCCAAATTCCAGTCTAGTGTGCATTCTAATAAACCATGTTATCTCCTCAAAACTCTGCTTTTTCAAGTAAATACTACTTCGAGCATGTACTGCTGCAAATTCTGCTCTCCACATTAAGTATATGTGCCTTATTATTATTATTATTTTTTTTGAGATGGAGTCTCGCTCTGTCGCCCAGGCTGGAGTGCAGTGGCGCGATCTCGGCTCACTGTAAGCTCCGCCTCCCGGGTTCACACCATTGTCCTGCCTCAGTCTCCCGAGTAGCTGGGACTATAGGCGCCCGCCACCATGTCCAGCTAATTTTTTTTGTATATTTAGTAGAGACAGGGTTTCACCGTGTTAGCCTTCTGACCTTGTGATCCGCCCGCCTCGGCCTCCCAAAGTGCTGGGATTACAGGCGTGAGCCACCACACCTTATAATATTAATTATAATATTATAATTTTATAATATTATAGGTGGATAGCCAGGTGGATCTAGTCTGATAAGTTCAGCCTGTAAAAACCCAGATCTTGATAGAAAAGAATTGGATGGTTCTGGAGGGGCAAATAGAAAGCATATTATAATATTATATTATAATATTACAGGCGTGCCTTATAATATTAAACATACTTAAGTATATGTGACATATGCTTTGACGGTAAAATCACAATGAACAAACAAATGCCACACCCTAAGCAGCCAGCCTGGAGATGAGATTTCAACTGTAGGTACTGACCAAAGAAAGATCCCGTTTTTGCCATGGCACCCTGGAGCCCAGCAAATAACACCTTTTGGAAATTGCAAAAGCTGAAACTGAATAGTTCAGCTATTTCTAAATGATCACATTAATTTTATTCATATTTCACAGTAGTTTTATTTCAGTGTCTTAATTACCAGATAAATTCTTCTACATGATCATTAAGGTTCCACAGCTTCCTAAACTTCTGTGTTTCATGCCTGATTGTCAGTCCCTTCCTGGGCTATACAATTACCAGCAAAGCTTCTTGAGGCAGGCTCATTTCTCATCCACAAACTCAGCCAAATATTACATACCATATGTCAATATTTCTGCTTATACGTCCTCAATGTATTTCCAAACTACATTTATTTGGAAACTAAAGTGACTATCAGACAACATTTCGGAAATATCTCCTTTCCTCTGGGCTTTATGCCCACGTTTATAGATGTCCCTCCATAATCGAACATAGAGGGGAAAATGTACTTTTTATGGTTGTAATTTTTTTCTCTTTCCCCCTCCATTTATTCAGCTGGGAAGAGGAAATGAAAAAATATGAGCAACGGAGTTGAACATACTATAAACCACATCTATTTTTGGCAGGCTGCAGACCTATGCACTGTCTTGACAGTGGTGTGGGACAAACTCACTGCTTTCGTTTGCTTTTCGCTTATGCTAGGATTTCATATAGCATATTTCTCTAAGGTGACAACAAAGTGTACAAGGACAATACACAGAATAAAGCAAATGCCAACAGCAGGGTGAACCCAAACTAATCAATTAACACTGCTATACTTTTTCAGCCTTTTTTTTTCTTTTAACAGGACTAAGCTTGCCTTGAGTTAAATCACATAGATTTTAATTCCCGCGTACCATCTCAAAGTTAGAAGCAAGAATATTCTATGAACATCTGGGGGCCAGTCAGTGACAGCTCTAACCGAGCAGAGGGTATTGTTAAGAAGCAAAAGAAGGTAACTCTGAGGAAGTTATCGGCCCTTAAAAACAGATATTTGAACAAAAGATGAAGGAAATCATTTTGACACTGTGATACATCTATTTGGCATTTAGAAAAATCAAATATCCATATTGTTTACTCAATTATCAACTTTGGTATTCTTCCAATAAGATGGAAAAAAAGTGAATAGAGGACACGTAGCTCTTACTAGAAAAAAAAAAAATCTGTCCTGATGTGTAAAGAGAACAGTGCCACGGGCAGTCAGGGGTGTGAAAGGGAAGACCAGAGGGGGCCGTGAGGAGATCTCATCTGCTTCCCAGGATGGACTGGATCCAGGTCTGTGCTCAGGGAAAGAGAAAAATGCACCTCCTTTGTTTACTCCTTGCAACCAAATTGGGCCAAAACTCAAGGGAGCACCATTAAGTGCAACTTTTCAGCTTCAAGAACAGTGAAATAAACTTCTGTAAACCAACATTTGAACCTAACAATTATGCTAAGCACCGCTTCTATGGTAAACGAGTTCAGAATGGTGTACAAATTAACTTTGGGAACAAAACCTTTTGTAGGTAAGAGACTTTCTATAGAGAAGCAAATGAAAAATAAATAAATGAAGATTATTCCAGGAACCAATTTTCCTACGTCTGGGAAAATCTATAAGGTTGTAGAAAGAGACAAGTTAAAATTTAAAACTAACCTGAGACACCACATCATACCTCTTAGGTAAAGTAATTTTAGCATTATTTTTGTCACATATTAATTTAACCCCACTGTTTAATAACACTATGTGCATAATTACATTTTAATTTATGTAACCTATTAACTCATTTACTGGTGGGTAGTCAGGCTAGAGAACTGAGGCTTGGAAAAATAAGTTGTTTAAATGAGCTAATCACTTAAAGCATGATTAACACTTCTGATTTTAGTTACACCATTATTATCTATTAGACTGACAAATTACTGAGTGCCTGATTCCCAATTTTAAAGTATTTGGGGACTACTCTAAAATTACCCTTTTCGTTATTTATTAATTCACTCACGTGTTTATTGTCTGCTTGCCCTGACTAGAGTATAAGTTCTATGAGAGGACACACTTCTATATTGTTTATAGGGTACAGAGTAGTTATTGAGGAAATAAATGAATGAAAAAAAGTAATAAAATAATTTTCCTATATTCATCTTATTCAAAAGGTGCAAAAGTTAAAGCTACTAATGGGATATTTGAATCTGTGGTTAATTCATAGATAAAATAGAATAATCTTAAACAATAGCCTATATTATTATTTTACTATGGGCAAAAGCTGTTATAAGCCTCATGGCAAAATCCTAATTATTTCCAAATTTCTTTCAGTTATCAGTAAATCATTAGCTTGTAAATTCAGTACCAGTGTGGTAACTATCTCAGTCTCTACCAAAAAATACAGCTTCAATAATACTATTGCCAATATAATTATATAAGGCAAATACTAAGGAAAATAATTCTAAGCCATAAGGTTGATAGCTAAAGGCCAACACTATTTAATAGTAGAAAGCTCTTGGCCTGAGAGTCAAGAAACCAAGATTCTAGTCTAAACATTTACTTACCGGTTTTGGGAACTTGTGTCAACCATTTGACCTCGCTGAGCTAAAGTGTCGTCTGTAAAATGTCAAGATTTAATATGATTTCCAAGACCTATTCTAGCTTTAAAAATCTATCAGAGCAATAAATTGTCAGCTAGGGGGAAAGTACATAAATACATAATAATAATAGATAACACATATAGTTCTTACTAAGTGGCAGACATTTTTCTGAGCACCTAACATCGATTAACATACTAAATCTTCACAAGCAAACCTAGGAGATAGTTCTATCCCCTTTATTTTAACGAAGGGGAAACTGAGGCTTAGACAGGTTAGATGACTTGCTCAAGGGGCCTAAAGAAAAGACATGTACAGCCAAAGACCTCAAGTGGCCTGCCTTCTGTCCCTCACCCTCCTGGCTCACCTCTTTTGACATTCCTGGCTCAGGTTGTACTGGACTTCCCTCTGGACCCTGAGAACACAAACTTATTCCTGTCCAAGAACCTTTGCATGATTTGTTCCCTCTGCCTTAAGGGTTTCTTCCCTAGATCTCTGCATGTCTGGGTCCCTCTCATTATCCCAGTTTCATATCAAAGATCAGACGCCTACCTTGACCCCTCTAATCAAAGTCAGTAATATACATGGCCACCTTACTTTTTATGCAGTGCATCCACAACTATCTGAAACTATCTCATTTAGTTGTTTATTAGTTCATTCATTAGTTCTCTTCCTCCCTTGACTAGAGCATAAGTTCCACAGGGGCATGGATTTTGTACTACTTACCTCAGTATTCCCAGTACCTCGAATCATACAGGGCACAGAGGAGTTATTGACTGCAGGATAAATGGATGAGGGAGTGAATGATAACCTAATAGAAATGATTTTCCTCTATTCATCTTAGTTATTCTAAAAGTGTGAGTGCTAAAGGAACTCACAGCATACATTGAATTTCAGATGTGCCATTTAAGTAAGAAATACTTTCAGACAAAAGAGAAATGAGTTTACTGACAATAGTTAGTACCAGCATTTCCAGAATTTCTGCTTTACTGTCAACTCTTATCAATTTAATTATGTAAACATTTCATTTTTTTATTAAATGAGTGTGTTCATTTCGGAGAAGAGTTCAGATCTTTCACTAAATCACCAAAGAAACTGAGTAACAATATGAGTCATCAAAAACATTAAGCTCATAGAATCTAATACCTCCAAGAAGGCTTAAATTTTATATTAAAATGTATATGCTTCAAGTGCACAGCACAAGTGATGTGCAGAAACAGAAGCAGGAGCAACCATGTTTCACGTCCTCCCTGGGGAAGGTGGTAAAATACTATTTTGTCCGCACAGAAAATGCCTGTAGCGAGAACAGTGAGCAAATTTTGAGTGAGCAAATTAACTGTATATGGCGGCAGCTTACAGAACACAGGGGCCCCTAGACTCAGAGGACATGTAACATTGAAAGGTCAAAGCCTTGACTGCTCTCGAGATTCTCATGCTCACATTCATAAATTATTGAAAATAGCTTTTAAAAATCCGTGCAATATACTAAGAAAAGATAGAAAAAAAACTAAAAATATGATCAATGGAATCAAGAAAAAATGACAATGGAAGAAAATGGTTGAAGTCAAGATTGAAGTGAATATACAGGATGCCTAGGGATCTGGAAGCCTGCTAGAAGAAGCGCATATACTGATGCTACATTTTCTGGGATCCGGGGCAAGGAGGGCCTTGGGGGACAGAGCCAGGAAGTCCAGGATTCAGAATGGCCCAATCAGTTACATTATTTGTAGCATGGATGAGAGGGTAAAATGTGGCCCAGGACAGGCATTACTATCTCTGAAATCTAAGAGAATTTTCTCCCATGGGTCCTCATAAAAATGATAATAAGTGATGTGACAAACTTAACAACACTCTTATACTCAATGCAGCAATGTGTTTCCTAGACTGTTTCTTATCAAGTCACTCACTGTAGGCTGGGGCACTGCACCAAAGAAGCAATTCAATAAAGGCAATAGTCTGAGGGCCAACAGCAATTTTCAGTCAATTAATGCATCTTCTTGTTGGACTACATGTCCATCCAGTGATTGTGTGTGTGTGTGTGTGTGTGTGTTTATAAATATAGTTTTGTTCAACTGACTTTTTCATAAAATTGGAGCAGCAGGGACCTAAGTACTCTTTAACAGCTACCTGGAGTGCAGCTATTCTATGTTCTGCCTTAAGTTGGAACTATCTCTATGCCTTGCAGCCATCTAAGCAGAGATAGACTAACATCCCCTTAAGAAAGGCGAGGTGTCTGCCTAACAGAATATATAATGAATACCAAGTCTCTCAGTCCTTTAGGGAAGAGGCAAGAAGCTCCTCAGAATGTAATTTTGGATATACTGATAAAAGGACCAACCTTAAAGTTCTCCAGCAGAGGGTACATGGCTTAAAAAAATTATCCTTAAAAATTTTATATGCAGACAAAGTAATCATGCCCTTTGGCCATTTTTTTAAGTCTCAGGAAAGCATATTTGGATTGGTTCATCTTGAAAAGCAGGCCATTCTTCTGCAGAGAATTGACTGCAAAATATATACCTAGAGAACCAAATGAGCTAACCTACTGCATAAGATTATAAATGACCAAACAGTTGTATGTTATGGATAGTTTGCCAAAAATGATAACTTTCCAGCACTTTGGGAGGCCGAGGCGGGCGAATCACGAGGGTAGGAGACCATCCTGGCTAACACGGTGAAACCTCGTCTCTACCAAAAATACAAAAATTTAGCCGGGCGTGGTGGGGGGCCCCTGTAGTCCTAGCTAGTAGTCCGAGTAGTCCCTACTCGGGAGGCTGAGGCAGGAGAATGGCGTAAACCCGGGAGGCAGAGCCTGCAGTCAGCCGAAATTGCGCCACTGCACTCCAGCCTGGGCAACAGAGTGAGACTCCGTCTCAAAAAAAAAAATAATAAATAACTTTCTTTTAGAGCAGTGCCCCTGAGCCCCTCTCCTTAGCAACAAAGGGTATGGCCAGGTGTCTACTTAAAATCTTTTTTTTTTTTTTTTTTTTTGAGATGGAGTCTTGCTGTGTCACCCAGGCTGGAGTGCAGTGGCGTGATCTTGGCTCACTGCAACCTCTACCTCCCGGGTTCAAGTGATTCTCCTGCCTCAGCCTCCCCAGTAGCTGGATTACAGGTGCCTGCCACCATGCCTGGCTAATTTTTGTATTTTTAGTAGAGACAGGGTTTCCCCATGTTGGCCAGGCTGGTCTCAAAACCCTGACCTCAGGTGATCCACGCACCTCGGCCTCCCAAAGTGCTGGGATTATAGGCGTGAGCCACTGCACCCGGCCAAGTCATTGTTGATTCATGGTACCTATACCATGTACTTCCATAGAAAATACGTCTACCTTTCTATTCTCTAATTTGTTATAATGCTCTAAGAAAATATGATATATATTTTAATATATTTACATATTTCATATACATATATTTAATTATTTTCATGTATTAATTTACATATAGTACATTGATATAAACATAATTATAATTTTAAAATCTTAAATATTTAATATAAACTTTCTAAAAACATACCCTTCAAACTATTCAGCTATGGAAATATCACTGTGGACATTGTTCTTTACAGTATTCTCTTACTGAGGAACCTTGTAAGAATTTCTTTCTGGGACTAGTACACAGAATAATTACCTCTTGAACAGCCTTTTCTAAACACATAAACTCTGTAAACTATAAAATTGTCCACATTACGATTTTTCAGTTGATTGTTAGAAAGCTTTGTGCTAGCTTTTGATTTATTTGTAGCAAGTGTATAGGTTTTTGTGGTATGCATTTAATATCCTTATTGTTGTTTTTTCTTTTATTTCTTAGGTTAAATTACTTTTAATTTAATTTCCTTTGAGTGACATTATATTTCCTTGGTGTGCTTTGGGTCTGCTTTACATCTATAATAGTGGAATAGATCTGCCCAAGATGTGTTTTCCTTTCATGTACAATATGGGGTTGAGTAACCTGCTTTATTTTAAAGAAAAAGAAAAGGAAAACTGGTATGCATCTTTAATCAAGTAACTGTTAATAACAACATAATCAGTCTAAGATTTGGAGGAGGAGAAAGTAAGTATGTTGCTGCTTCAAGCTTTTATTACTTTTGAACAGAATTGAGGATGACAGCATAAATCCCAAACATTAAAGCTTTAAAAATAAAATTAAATTGACTTCCCTCAGGATGTTGGGGTTTACTTGTTATTTTTATTTTACCTAGGATATCACAGAGACATCTTATAATGAAATAAAACTAAATTCAAAAATTTTAGTACAAATATAAACTAAATAAGCATAATATGGAACATCTTACATCATTCTTTAGAGAATTTAGATCTTTTGAGAAAGTATTTACTCTTCATATCTTAATTTTTTGCCCTACATCATGCAGAAATTATTTTCTTCAATGCTGTAACCCAAAACACTTCCCAATAGATTTGTCATAATATTTACTATATGTTGTGGCAGCTGCTGGATCATAGAAGAATGAATTTAATAAGGATATGAGTATGGTGATATTTTTGCAAGTCTTACAACATTTGGTAACTTACAGAGCAGCAATTTACTCATAGTTTGACTAGGAATAGAAATAGTTTGAACAGGACTATTCAAATAAGTTTAATAGTAATAGTTTGAATAAAATTATTCAAGTAAGTTAATTTCCACTTCTATATTTCCAATGTAGCAGTGCTTTAAAAGTGTTTATAGTAACATTAATTTTCTATTCCAACATGTTTTTATAGCAAATATTTGATCATGTGTAATGGTCCATGTGCTCTTCCCTTTATGCTAAGTCCGCTCTTACTATTATGTTAAGATTATATTTGCTTACTTCTACCAAATATTGGGTATCAAATTTTCTTTACTATCAAATATAGTTTCCACATATGTTGAATGCCATATGTGGATATGTAAATATTTTCAATTCAGAAAATTAGGTACAAAGAAGAACATGTTTTTTTAGAGCCGCCTTTCAAATTAAAAAAGCAAAATGAGCAGCCAGCAGTCCACAGCCAAAGACACTGAGCAGAGGACACGTGGAATTAGCAATATTTCTTATTGAATTCCATCTTGTTTTAATGTATTGAATTATCCATGGTAGGGACAAATGTATTGCTAGTCATTACCTAACTGTCTTAGAAAAGTTGGAAACTGGTAGAGAAGAGAAAGGGAAAGAATATGAACAAGATGAAATTGGGGCAGAAAATTAACCACTTAAGAATATGCTTTAACTACTCAGAAGCAACTATGGGGCTTTTTTATGTAATGTCTTCTAATGACTAAGAGGAGGCAGGGAAATGTTTTTTCATTAGTAAAACCGATCTTTAGACAGTAAACTAAAGTATCCTTTGCTCTTTTTTGGTGACAATAATAGTTGTGGTATGATGGTATTATTTTAAGATAACGAGACTAATTCCACAATCATATAAGGAAATTTGTGTCATTCTTTTATAGTTATATTTTATTCAGTACACAAGACCCTAGTTTAGGTCTTTCACAGAGAAGTCTTAGGCTTTTGTTTGTTTGTCCCAAATCCTGTCCTTAAACAAAAATAATATGGTAGGAAAAAATTTCAAGACCTTATTGAGTAATCCTATGATATTTTGAACACATGCAGTGTGAATTTGGACTTTTTGACCCCAGTAATCAACAAGCATGAACATTACGCAAATGTGTTCATCAGGCCTCAGAAACTGAAGTTATCGACTGACACACCCTGAGTATCACTTGAAATCCAGACACTCTGAATGTATAGGTGAAAAGCACTTTATAAATAAAACATATTATTATATTTCATTATAATCACTGCCAGCAAAATCAGCAAGTGGCTTTAAAATAACAGTTTTGATCCAGTGCCACTAACAGGACTTTGAGTATACACAGTAATTTAATTTTTCCATAACCTAAAAAAACTACGTACCTTTGCTTAAAGGAATTTATTTTAAGAAAATTATTCTAATTGCGTGAAAATAGATAAAAATAGTCTATATTTTATTGGCCTTTAATTAAAAAATATGCAACAACACAAGAACCACCTCTAAAATTAAAGAAACAAAGAATTAAACATAAAAACTGAAAAGAAAAAATGCATCGTCTTTCAAACAACAGCAAAATTTTTGAAAACTCAAACAAACAGGAACCTTCCTGATAGAATCTCCATAATTCCAGTTATTTCCATATTTTTAACTCTGTGACTCTATAGTTTTATGATCTCAAAAAAAATCCTTAATGTTGTTATTTTTCTTTGATTCCTCGACTCTAGGAGATTCAACAAGACAAGTCTGGAGATTAAAAAAAAGGTTATTTATCATAGTTCATAATTTTATCCACACAGAAATGATCATTAAAGCTTAGAAAATAGATATTTCCCACAGAAGAAGGAAAAGAGTGCATGTTCTAAAACTGGGCATGAAGGAACATGCACATTTAGAAAAATGGAAAAATCCATAGTAATGCGAGAAGGAGTAATCCAGATAGAAGACAACTCAAAATGGATACCACAAAAGCCACTTCTTTCGAGTAGGAGGGTGTGGTCAACAATTTTAAATTTGTAGAGATGTCACGGAGAATGAACATTGGGCAAACGGTCATTGTGTATTGTAGAAATACTTTATTAATGACATCCTAGCACAACGTCTCAGTGAGGACATACAGAACAAATTCAGGTCATAAGGATGTAAGGCAGACGGGCAGACATCAGATGTTGACCATTCATTTTAAAATTGCACTTTTACACTGTTGGTGGGACTGTAAACTAGTTCCACCATTGTGGAAGTCAGTGTGGCGATTCCTCAGGGATCTAGAACTAGAAATACCATTTGACCCAGACATCCCATTATTGGGTATATACCCAAAGGACTATAAATCATGCTGCTATAAAGACACATGCACACGTATGTTTATTGCAGCACTATTCACAATAGCAAAGACTTGGAACCAACCCAAATGTCCAACAATGATAGACTGGATTAAGAAAATGTGGCACATATACACCATGGAATACTATGCAGCCATAAAAAATGATGAGTTCATGTCCTTTGTAGGGACATGGATGAAATTGGAAATCATCATTCTCAGTAAACTATCGCAAGAACAAAAAACCAAGCACCGCATATTCTCACTCACAGGTGGGAACTGAACAATGAGAACACATGGACAGAGGAAGGGGAACATCACACTCTGGGGACTGTTGTGGGATGGGGGAAGGGGGGAGGGATAGCTTTAGGAGATATACCTAATGCTAAATGACGAGTTAATGGGTGCAGCACACCAGGATGGCACATGTATACATATGTCACTAACCTGCACATTGTGCACATGTACCCTAAAACTTAAAGTATAATAATAATAAAATAAAAAAATTATAGTAGTAAAAGAAATAAAAATGTTCAGACAGTAGCTATATTCAAACAAAAGCATATCGTTGTAAGATGTTAGTCCCATCTCTCCTCAGTTTTAGGAACAGTTATCTTTGGCCTGGATTTACTAGCTATTTATGTCACTGATTTGTTTTCATTTAATTACTATTCTAAATATAACTTTCTAGTGTTACTTAAAAATATGCAGTGAAACTTACTAATCTGAATATAGTATGAAGCCAGGCATGATGGCTCATGCCTGTAATCCCAACGCTCTGGGAGGCCGAGGCAGGCAGATCACCTGAGGTCAGGAGTTCACGGCCAGCCTGGCCAACATGGCACAACCCCATCTCTACTAAAAATATAAAAATTAGCCAGACGTGGTGGTGTACACCTGTAGTCCCAGCTACTCGGGAAGCTGAGGCAGGAGAATCACTTGAACCCAGGAGGCAGAGGTTGCAGTGAGCTGAGATCACACCACTGCACTCCAGCTTAAGTGACAGAGTGAGACTCTGCTCTAAATAAATAAATAAATATAGTATGAAATCCAAAGCAGTGAGACATTTTTTAAAAAGAGCACTTGAGCGACTTTCATTCAAAAGCAATTCAGTGCATATGGTTATTATTTGGTTAGTATCTACCAAAGGTGCATGCTAGTTAAAAATTCTTCGCAATTAATTATATAATGCTTTATAAAATATTGTGATTTTTATTCTATTTTAAAAATTCAACTCAAGAGTTAGTTCTTACTAAAGCAGCTTACTAAAAATAGAATACAAACTATTGTATTTCTATTAAAAATAAACTATTTGTATTAAAAATAGAATAGAAACTATAACTATTCTATAATAGAATACAAATATATACTTCCACTGAATTACCATAATAAATTTAAAATGGAATTAAGAAATTACACTACAAATAAAATCCGAAGGATATTAATATTGCATTTCAAAGGCATTATGCAACACAATTAATAACATCCCTTTATACTATATTTAGAAATAAGATTAATGAGAAATGGTCCTAAAATATCTCTAAGGACTCCACCAGCATTCCTATTTTATAACCTCATGATTTCTAATTTTTTATAGGAACTTTAATTTTAAAGGAGCCTGAAATTTGGGTGAGTAGCCATTTAATGACTTTTTAAAAATGAATAGTCACATTATTACTATAAGTATACACTGACAGACACATACTATAAGACAAATATATTTTATCCTATATTTGATTGTTATGGAGGGATGGGGAAAGCCCCATGGTGGATAGATAAAAGAAGGCATTGAAAAGGTAAACTATCAGTTGTTACAGGAAAACGTAAATTATAGTTGCCCATGACATTTGTGGCTAATTATAACAATCATCTTCCTAGACAACAGGAGGATAATGATACTCAATCAGGAGCAAGTACTCACAATTTCCTCCCCAGGCACCACAGCCCCATCTGATTCAGCTCCTGTGTCCTCCTCCAAGTGTGAATCAGATTGTTCTTTCTTGAATTGGCTCTAAACCATTCTTTCACCCTTTCCTCTAGTCCATTATCAAAGAGCATCTTGTCTTGGGATCGAGTGAATCTGACTGTGAAAAAAAAAAAAGAATGACAAATGAAGAGAGGAAAGAAGAAAAGAAATCTATTTAAACTAAAAAGATGCTCATGAAACATAAAAGCAAAATACCAATGTCAGAAAATAATACATTTGCCTTATAAGTAAATAAAATATAATACAAGCATATTTATGATCTGACTTAGGCTGTATTGAATAATTCTTAAGGCACAATACATAAGAGAATTTTTAACCTTTGTCTTTAACATAAAATATGTCTAAAGCCACCAATTTTAATGCTAAATTTTAAATGAAAAAAAAACACACCTTAAAACAATTATGGAAGATCAGACAAATAACACTCTAATAACATTGTCCTCAATTTTCCAGTATAATTTTCACAAATATATTTGTAGGTACATGAAATACATACTCAAAATATGTACTCAATTTTTACATACTTTTTATAATAAAGGTAATTCTTGAAGTATGTAAGTAAATACAAATTAATTGGACACTTTCATAAGAGTTTAAATATCATATTCTATAAAACCATAAATGTATAAACTAGGAAAAGGCTATGTTTTAACTTGTAAAATATAGTCATCACAGACATTGACCATATAAAATATATAGTAAATGCTGACCAGAGGTTCTCATTGTGCAGTGAGAGGAAGTAGGTTTAAATAGCAATAGGTACAATTTTGAGAAGATATAAAGAAGAAATCTTTGGTAACATAGCAGATATCCACAAAGGGAGTTAATAAGTTTAGCTTATAGGAACATCACCATCCATCATTACCACAAACATTGTAAATTCAAGGAAAGTAAAAACTTCTATTAATACCCTGTCAGACCCACCTCTACAATACCTTTTTCTCACATTTTTGGCTTTGGCCCCTTTGAACATTTCTTTACAAACAATAATTCTGCAATATTTTATATAAAGAGAGGGCTGGGCATGGTGACTCATACCTGAAATCCCAGCACTTTGTGAAGCTGAGGTGAGAGAATCACTTGAGCCCAGGCGTTCGAGAACAGCCTGAGCAACATGGTGAAACCCCATCTCTACACAAAATAATTTAAAAAAATAGCCAGGCGAGGTGGCACATGCCTGTAGTCCAGCTACTCGGGAGGCTGAGGTGGGAGGATCACTGGAGCCCGGGAGGTCAAAGCTGCAGTGAGCCATGATCATGCCACTGCACCCCAGGCTGGGTGATAGAGCAAGACCCTGTCTCCAAAAAAAAAAGAGAGACTAAATAAGAAATTTAGACTCTTCTTGAGCATGGTTAATAAATATTCATTTCTTTACATTATTGATCATTTAACAATAATTTTTAGCTTCTTATTAAATAATGTATTATTAGTAACTTTATTAAAAGTTTTGTTGATAACTTAGGAAAACCTCATTCAAATCTTTGTTCATGTGAGTGCAGGATTTAGAACAATTTTCCACACACAAGGTCCAACTCTATTTTCTTATATATTCTGAACTTCCTTTTTCCTTCATTACCCACATAGGTCCATGCTCAGTACTATAGGATATATTCACATGGCCCAGGCAGTTCCTGTCAAGATGCTTGCAAGAGCAGTAGGCAGCAAAATTAAGTACAGAAACCATTCCTAAACCAGAATGACTGGCAGTCTTAACCATCCATGAAAGTGACTGTGAACCATATAAACCCATCCTAAGGAACCCACACTAAACATATCCTTAGCTCAATTTCTCTTTACATGATGTCCTAAATACCATTTAACACGAGGAAACATTTGAGGGATGATGAATATGTTGATTATCTTGATTGCATTTTATGGGTATATACATATGTCAAAACATCAAATTGTATACTTTAAATATGTGCAGTTTTTTGTTTGTTAATTACACTTCAATAATTTTTTTCGGAAGTAATGTGTCAGTTGGAGTCTAATTAAGAGGCAGAAAATACACAGTAATTTGAAAAGAGAAGGTTTTATATAAAGAATAATTAACCGTAATTTGGGGTCATGATAAAGACATACAAAAAACTCTAATGAAAAACGTAAGTTTTAGGAAAAACACTCAAAAAGGAGCAAACTTGGAAAGGGGTGCCCTCCTCAAGGCTGAATTACGGCTTCATTGGAAAGCTGTGCTCGCAGCCCACTGCATGGCAGAGAAGTTCACTGGATTGCCTGAACCAGAGTTGCCCCACAGATGTTGGCCAAACAGGAAAAACAGACAAACAGAAGAACAAAATATCCTTCCCAAGTTAAAGGTGACAAAGCTGGTGAGAGAGCACAGAATGAGTCAAGGTGCCTGGAGCTCACTCATTGGGAGGGTCATGTGCAACCAGGGGTATACAGTGTCTGTGCCAAGAAGACTGTGAGAAACAACCCTGTGTGGGGTGCAGATGGGCAAAGGTTGGTATGAGATTGCGCATAGGAGGTTGGGATGTTGGGAGCAGGCTGACAAACAGGGCAGAGCAATATCTGAAGCATGCGGTATCCATGTCACAAGCACAAAAGACGTCTGCTTTTGCTACATCTATTCATCATTAGTGGGGGTTCAAGCTAGTGTAATAAGACAAGAAAAAAATATGTAAAAGGCATCCACATTTAAAAAGAAGTTAAACTATCATTATTCACAAATGACAGGATCATCTGTGTAAAAACTCTTATGAAATGTACCCAAAAATCTGCTGGAATTAAATGTTGAGTTTAACAAGACCATGAGATCCAAGATCAATACTAAAAAAAAAATCAATTGTATTTTTATAGACTAGCAATCAATAATCAGAAATTGAAATTAAAAGAAGCAATACCATTTATATAAGCATCAAAAATACAAACTATTTCAGTATAAATCTGACAAAAGATATGCAAGACCAGTGCACTGAAAAATATAAAATGAGATAAACCTACAATAACCTAAATAAATGAGGAGAATCATTTACAGAATGATTTATTACAGAATCATTTGCTGTTCATGATTCAGCAAACTCAATATCATTAATATGTCAATTATCCCCAGATTAATAGAGATTCAATGTGATCTCAATAAAAATCTCAGCAGTCTTTCTCATAAAATTGACAATTTGATCCTAAAATTCATAAGAAAATTCAGAAGAGCTGAAATAGCCACGCTAGGTGGAGGGGAAAAAGGAACAATTTTGTAGGACTATCTAATTCTAAGACTTGTTGTAAATCTACAGCAATTAAGGCAATGTGGTATTGATGCGAAGAGAGTTAACTGTATCAACAAAACAAAATAGTGATTTCAGAAATAATCCAGACATATGTGTGTAATTGATTTTGACAGTATTTCAATGGGAAGAAAGAATAGTTTTTCAACAAATGGTGCTGGAATAATTGGATATCCAGAACGCAAAAAAAAAAAAAAACCAAGAATTCGATCCATGCTTTGTACCACATACAAGTTTGCAAAGGAAAACAAGGACACTTTTAGGGTGATATTATGGTTATTAACTTGGTTCTGTGAGAGTTTATGTGTACATACATATATTAAAACTTAGCAAATTGCATACTTAAAATACGTGTAACTTGTTCCATGTCAATTATACTTTAATAAAGCTGTTTAAAAACTAGTACATTTATCCATGCTTAGCGTGTCTTTCAATAAATGCACTCATATATACAAGTGCATATTAGATATATTTAACAGACACTTGTATTCACAAAACAGAGCAGCTATTATCATCACTTGCTGGTCCTTAGCACAAATTTATACTAGCACTTTATAAAAGATGAAATACTTCCTCATATGAAAATAGTGTTCCAAATGAAAAAGACTGTCTGGTGGAAGTCAAGAGGAGATTTTGTGTGCTTGGGCCTACTTTTCATATTGCTTGGCTTCATTTAGCTGGAGAGAATAACAGAGCTGACTGGCCACTAAAGAATTCTTACCATTGCCACAGATGTCCACACGGTTGCTCTTGTTGAGGACTGGCCAGGACCTTGACCCAAGTTTCAGAAATGTAAACTCCCAGAATTTGATCTGTGCTACGAAAACACGTAAAATGGTAGAATAGATCAGACTTTATAAACTGGAAGGGATTTTAAATAGCATTTAATCCAAACCCTTTAGGTTATATGAGAAGAACCCAAGGCCAAGAGAGAATAAACGTAAATGCCTTGTCCAAGTCTTGGTACTGGCAGCGTCAGATCTAGAATCCAAGGTTTCTTGTGATCAAAATCCTGTGGCTTTTTTCTTTTCCTACTACCAAACTTTGAGTATTTCTTCCCCTAAATACTGCACTCATTAATCATTTTCTCATATAAAAGCATCTTCTTACATTTTGCATTTTTAAGTACATTTTTGTTTAACTATAATGAAAAAAAATCCCTGCAATCTTTTCTGTTGCCAGACCCATCTACAGACTCCAGAGTTGACGCTTTTAAAAATTAGCTATTTAATTTAAACACACTCGGGACAATGTCCTCTAATTTTGTGCCTCTCTCCATGTCACTCATTTTTCATTATCCAGGGTGAAGACAATAGTCTCTGTCCTTCATCTAGAGTAATTGTTTTGAACTCTCTTTGAACACAAAAGTACCAGGGTGAGAGTAGTTTAAAAACAATACAGTTTATAAATACAAGAAAAATATGGAAAATCTCATGGACCTCTTAATCGTATTACTACAATCCTGGAAGAATTCAATTAGTTCAGTTTTATATTTAAATATTTATTTTTTCTTTCTGATTTCAAAAGCATTTTATGCTCACTAAAAAAGTGTAGAAAACAGAGGAAAGCTTTTAAAAGAATGAAATCACCCATAAACTCTCCAACCAGATATAGCCACTATTAACATCTGGCATTTTTGGAATTTTATAAACAGATATACATATAACTAAAGATATTTAATTAACTAACAAGCTATATACATAGCTATGAAGATAGAAGTCACATTATATATAAATTTTGTATCTTTTTAAAATTAACATATTATAATTCTTTCCCTGTCACTAAAATTCTTTGCAATATCATTCTTAGGAGAGGCATGCTATTCAACCATAATGCCATACCATTATTTAATCCTCCCCCTATTGTTGAGCATTTTTATGATTTTTAAGTATTTATTATAAATAATGTGAGGACAATTATATGCATGTCAATCTTTGTTAGTATTTCTGATTTTTTTCATAGGATATGTTGCTAGAAATGCAACACTATTAAAATTTACCAGTAATAGATGATCGTATAAGCTAATAAAAGCTTAAGTAAAGTTCTTCTTTCAAATGACTGTGTGCCAAGTGCACTTGAAAAGCAAGAACGGAATGCATATAAAATGTCTTTTTCCATGCATAAGCAGCTAACAGGAATAGCAGCCATTTAAACATTTTGCTTTATTTCCCTTTATAGTAATAGTGGAATGATATTTGCACACAAATTCCCAGCATCTGGACATTATGGTGGATTCGAAACTGAAAAAATTGTCATTGCCTAAAAGACTACTTCCTAGATCTATTTAAGATAAATTTTTAATAAAGGCATAAGCACACAGTGTCACCATGGTGACAAAAGGAAGCTAGGAATACTGTCTGGTAGAATATACATTGAATAAAAAAATAGGTTGATGATACAGTAGAAGAGGTCCAGGCAAAGAAAGGATCAGAAGCAAAAGCAGAGGGTTTCTCTGATGAAAGAAATAAAGAATCATAGATGTATTCGTTTCTGATTAAATCATGTGAATGTCACATTTGGCTTTCTTGCACAGTTTGTGTCTACTCATCAGACCCTTGGGCTAGCTAATCAAAGTTCATAGTACATACTTTTAGCAATCAGTGGGCAAATCTCAGAAACAAGAAAGACAAAACCATCCTTGCCAAGAATGCTTCTTAACAATGTACAGCCTGGCTTTGTTGTTGCTGAACACTAATTCCGTGGGGGCAAAGGGATAGAAATGGGTGAACAGGATTCTTCACCTCAAGCTGTTGGCTACACTCAGACATTCTCAAGGTATAATGAGACCACTGCCTAAGAAGATAGAACAAAAGAGGGCTTTAAAGAAAAATAATGATTCCTTTCCCCTGCTCATTCCTGGGGTTGAGGATCTGTGTGGATGTTGTTTAGACATAATTAGTTTGGAGAAAATGTTCTTTATGTTTTTTTTCTCTCCTTAGAGTTAAGGCAGAATAGTTGGATAGAATGAACATGGGCTAGGTGCTGGCATCTCACTTTGTAGAAATGTGTGATTAGGGCAAAGGTATTTAATTTCTCTGAGTCAGCTTTTTGTCTGTCAAATTAGGTTAATACCTCACACAGTTGTTGTGAAGATTAAACAATCTAATAGACCACTCAGTACATAGTAAACACCCTGATAGATTGCAGTATTATTGTTAGTGTTATTTATGGATTTGCTTGGGAGATACAGAGATATTTCCAAAGTACTATTAATTTATATTTATATAATGTAAAATGGCCAAAATCTAAAACACTATGGTAATTATTTGGGGCGGGGGTTAGTTAGATTAGTCAATGCCTTTTAATTTTCCTTAAATTCTTCAATTAATTTTGCTTCAAATATATTTTATCAATGTATACATGGGCTTGCAGACTGAGAAGTCTGCTATAATTACATTTTTTTTTTTTTTGAGACAGAGTTTTTCTCTCGTTGCCCAGGCTGGAGTGCATTGGCACAACCTCGGCTCACTGCAACCTCCGCCTCCTGGATTCAAGCGATTCTCCTGCCTCAGCCTCCCAAGTAGCTGGGATTACAGGTGCTCGCCACCACGACCAGCTAATTTTTTGTATTTTTAGTAGAGATGGGGGTTCCATCACGTTGGCCGGGGTGGTCTCGAACTCCTGACCTCAGGTAATCCACCCACCTCAGCCTCCCAAAGTGCTGCGATTACAGGCTTGAACCACCGAGCCTGGCCTATAGTTACATTTTGAGCCTTGGAATTGTGCTGTTTTAGCCTAAGAAATACGTATGTCCAGACTTCGGATCAAGATAATGGACTAAATCACCACTTCCCGTACATTCATATTTATACAAAGTCATCCAGGGATTTTGTTAAAACACAGATTCCTATTCAGTGAGCCTGGGGCGGGTCCTGAGACTTTTGCATCTCGAACAAGCTCTCAGTGACGCTGATATGGCTGACCTGCACCACACAAGAGAATAAACCAGCAGTTCTCAACTAGGAATGACTTTGTCCCCCCCATGGGACATTTGGCACTTTCTGGAGACATTTTTGGTTGTCACAACTTCGGGGAGGTACAGCTAGTGGGTAGAGGCCAGGGATCCTGCTAAACATCTTATAATGCATAGGACAGCCCCCTACAACAAAAAAACTACTCAGCCCAAAATGTCAATACCATCCAAAATAGCAGTAGTGCCGAAGTTAAAAAATCCTGAAGTCAACAAATCTAAGGATCTTCCTCCAGTTACTATAATTACTAACAATGAAGAATAAAGCATATGGTCTTTTATGCACTCCTGGATTCAGATGTCCAAAAAGAAATGAAAAGAAATTCGGGGAGCCAGAAACAACACTAAAAATATGTGTCCATACCTAACATAATGAACCACAACAGAAACCTTACAGCCCACAATGGGTCACCCTAACCAGATGCATCTCTCAGGGATGGGGCTGTAGTTCTGGCATGTGGATTGATGGTTTGGAGGTACAGTGGGAGGGCAGGGGTATTTTAACAGGAAGACTTGAACAGGAGGTCCACAGAGCCATCTGCCCCAGGTAGACACAGGTAGCTGCCTGGAGATAACAGGAACATGGTGCCTTCTGACCAAGGCGTGGGGTCTATGTTCCCACTTCCTGGAAAGATAAAGTCCAAACCCACACTCCATGAAGATGGTTCTACACACCTCTCCAGGGCACAAGCACGTTGTTTCAAATCGCCCTTTTCTAAACGATATTCTCCTTTACTGACATTTAACAAATTATTATCTGGCAAACTAAATTTTGATTGATAGGATGAAATCGATCAACATGTTTACTGATAGATTTTTTTTCGAATTTCCAGGTTCATCAAGGAGCTAATTTTTACAGGTCACCTTGAAGATTTCACAAAGATATTTTTATTAGCAAAACTGTAATCAACACCAGCTGTATTCAGAATTTAATTGACCCACTTGGGCAATCATTTATGTAACAAAATAATGGATCTTGGGGCAAGGGAAAGATAAAAGACAGAGGTTGGAGTTTAAATAGAAAACAAATCAAAATTAGAGAGTTTATCATTTTGAAGTGGTGCGGCCAAGATTTCTTGGAAAGAAAAATTAGCTAGTCCTCTAAATACAACACTAATATTAGTAGACACCTGAGTATCATTTCACTGTGGGGGAGATTTATATGACATCGTGGGACTTTCAGGGCATCCCAATATGGCAATCTAAAACTGAATAACAAGTTTCCTGTCTCAGTTTTCCCATCAGAAATATAAGGTATATTTCCCTGTACTTGATATTTGGTGGGATCAGAAGAATAAACGTGAACTATTCCATGTGTATGATGGCAGACACTCTCAACAATCAACCTATTGGAGGACACTATCCTTTTTGTTTTTTACTTAAGATCAAACAATTTTTATACAACCTGTAACGAAAAGGAGAATGTAGTGAAATTTAAAAATCAGGAGACTCATGAGTCTTATTTGTGTGTGTGATTTTAAACCGAATTTTGAAGATTATATCTATATAGATGAACTTCAATAAGGTTCAGAGCCTATAAAAATGTTATCTCCTTCAGATGGCTTTGACCTTTCTCCAATTTCCAAGTCAGTTAATCAGCACATATTCAGTACATATTATGTTGCATAATAGGACCAGGTCTGTAACAAAATGTTATGATAGAAAAAGGCCTAAATTCCTTTTAAATGACAGAATGAAGTTTCGAGGAGTGAATCATTCATAATTTTTTTTTTTAATCTGCTGAGAGAAAGGGATTGAGTGAAAAAAAACCTCAGGGTAGCTGTGTCTTCTTCATTTTGCCTTGTATTGTGTGATGGGAAGGTAGAAGTAGACTTACTTTAAAATATTTTATGAGCTTACCCTCATTGGTTAATAACAGCTGTGGGCAGCCTCTGAAATTTATCCAAACCTCGCAACCCAGGAAACAAAGCAGAAATCTCCATGCTATTAATAATAAATGTGCCATTTTTTGCCACTGTTTTATTCTGTAATAATTGGCCAACTTCAAGTCCAACCTCAGAGTTTTTGGATTGCCAATGTAGGCAGAAACACTTCTCCATGGAAAGAAATTTTCTCAATCCCCTATTACATCTCTCTTTAGCCCTCTCTACCAATCCACACCTAGCTTTCTCATAATTAAATGAGAGAATGAAATCAGGCTATCTACTAATTCTTAATGAATTCCTTAAGTAGTCTTTGCAGGAGAATGTAAGTCTTTTAAAAGAAACAATTATGGGGAGAGAGTCCGCCTCACCCAATTTACAAGCTGGGAGCAAAAGCAGGTTTAGAGCTGTGTGTCAACACCAACCATTGTTCCTACTGGGGGACAATTTTCATGATATTTTTCAAGAATGTAAAATAAGGTTAGTTGGAACATGCAATTCTAATCCCTTCCAGCACTTATCACTCTTCAAACATTCAATAGCCACCCTTAATACCATTACCTCTGGGACAACATTTGAGTAGGCCCCTGCAATCTAACAACAAGAGACCCCAGAGAAAGACTGTGGTTTAAAAGCCTGGTTAAAGATTAGCACAAACAGTAATAAGAAGGTTCTTAGGAAAGAATCAGGACAGCTGCAGCTGAATCCTTGCTACCTGCTGAGGGTTGCTAAGCAACTTGGGCCTACCACTGCCCCAAGGGTGTTTTACTTTACAATTAGGATTTTTGAAGGGGATGAGGGGGAAGAGGGAGGGGTGATTCCTAGTGAAACCGATGTAGATCCATATATACAGATACGTGGTGTTGTGGGTTTTTTTAATAGGGAAACTGTGTCACTCCGTCCTTTCAAAGGTAGAACACTCCCTATAAAGCAGATATTTTTTTTTTGATGTAACTGACAAAAATCTAACAATAACATGGAGTTCTAAAAGTGACATTTTGACTCTAAGGGAGGAATTATTTGCAATTTGTTTTGAACAGAAGCTTAGTTCGTGTCAGTGGTGAACCTCCAGACAATCATTAGTTTAAACTGCCTGCTATGTGTTTAAAAATTTCAGTCAATTTAGAGCTGATCTGAATTGCAAATGTGATGGTAATAAGCCATTAGGGAACTGCATATCTCTTTTTTGCACTTACAACCCTCTGCTTTAAGGAGCTCCAACTACACTGAAATATGAAAATATCATTTTAATCATGCGCATTGTCGACAAACATAGAAATGCTGGAGACTCAGAAGCGGGAAAGTGGCATTCGGAGGCTAAACACGGGAAGCTGTGACAAGAATGAAGAAACACATATAACATTTACTTTAAATTATATACAGTAGTAAGATTTTCCAAAAACAAATATTCAGTTTTGTTTGTAATGCAACTCGAATCTCCAAGCCCAACATCTGGATAAAATTTATTTTCTTTGGATTTTGGAATTAGACTTAGCCCAAACCCTTTACGAGGCCACTTGGGAAATCAAGAGAATTGCTTCTATGGTCAGATTTCAGCTTGCAGTACAAATAATGAGTTTTTAAGGGTGCTTATCAATAAAAACTCTTATTTAAATAGCCTATTTCGGTTCTCTAGAATACTGTGTATTGTTGTAGTCTCAGAACCATCAATGTCAAGAAGTATTTTATTTTCTCAAAGGAGTTTCAGTTCAGAAGCTTAGACATTAGCACAGAAATTCATCATGATGATGCAAAAATCTCACCCCATCATTAGATTTCTCCATCGTCAGCTACATACTTAATTGAATAAAAGAGAAGGAAACTGAGAACAAAAAGAGGTGAGCTTTCTGTATTTTCAGTGGATAAGGTACATTTTCTTGATTCTCAGATACTATTTTTATAAGCCATTTGATTTCAAAGCTAAGCAGAACCATTGCAAGAAAGGGCTGATAACCGACCAGCTGGTCAACTAGCCATAGGAAATCATTTAGTATTTGTCTTTTCGTTTCCGTACCTCACACATCTCTTCCCTTTTGAATTCACTAAAGTTTGATACTTGGCTTTGTTTCAGCTGTATGAATAGAACCCCAGAAAATTCCCTTTCTCCCACTTGCCAGAATCCTTGGGAAATATGGAAACTTATGAGTAATGCATTCATGACATGTTTTCTCTCAACAAATTAAATATTTGCTAAGATAAAGATAAAGTGTAACATCATTGGTAAATATAGCACAAAATGATAGAATTTGAGTCCCAGAGGAAAATCTTAGTTAGAATTTAACTCCAGGGGGCCTTAGTCATCCATAAGGTCAGGGCTCTGGCCAATCCCAATGTTTGTTTATTTCCTTGAGAATGAAAGATAAGGGCACGAACTCTGTGATGTCAGTTATATTGGTGAAAAGAGAATCTCCCAAGCGTCAGCTTTTCGGCTGTGTCTGGACTCCAAGAAATAGAAAAATAAAATTTTAAAAAGAAAGAAATTCTCAAAAATAGCAGCCCATCTTTTCCACGCTGCATTGCTTCACTTGATTTTAAATTATTTCTTTCCAAACTATGATTATAATAGGGAGAGTCTCTAGCTATGTCTAAAGCCAGAAATATGAAGTAGAAATGGAGCCAATCATACATATGAATGAGGAAGGTAAGCCTGTATAAGGAAAAGGCGCTTTTCCTCCACCTCATGCATCTTCCCTTTCTTTATTCGTCCACTCATTCACTCAACAAATAATTACTGAGCCTTCTCTGTGTGCACAGAATTGTGGTAGGCACTACAGAGACACAAGGATGAATTAGAATATTGATCCTGCACACCAGGATCAATTGACTAAGAGAAAGAAAACCTTTCCATAACTAAATATATATAAGATAGAGAAGTGGGAAGTGTCAAAAGAGGCACAGAAAGGTGCCAGGAAGTAAGTGTCGGTGGGCCAATGTATTGGCGATTTTAAGAGCTGTAGTTATGGAATCAGAAAGAACAAGACCCAATTTTTCTCTGATCTTGAGTAATATTGAGCAACTTGCACAACCATCCTCTGTCTCAGACTGCCCATCTAAAAAATAAGAATTACTCAACAGATTTTATATATTTCCCCAGTCAGCACCCTGTCTTCTCCATAAAGCTGTTTTAAATCTTCCCAACTCTCTTGAAATCTCTAACTTACTATGCTTCCCCTCCCTCACAGTAGATGACCTCAATTCCCATCCTCCAGAGGAAATGGAATCCATCCGCTAAAAACCCACTCAACTTCCTGCCACCAGCCTACACACCTAACAGAATCCCAAACCATCCCTCACTCTCAGACACTGGCTTTATTAATTACTTCTCTGCTTCTGTCCTGCGAAGTCAAATGCTCCTCTTTGCTGCCTAGGGCTCATCAGCATTTAGAATTGTACCAGTCTTTACTATCTTAAAAACAACAAAAACAAAAACTACCCTCAATACTCCTGAATAATCTCTCTCACCTTCTATACATCCTGTGCTCTCTGCTCTGTCCTCTGTGGTTACCACTAGTCACATGTAGCCATTTACATGTAAATTAATTAAAATTTTAAAAAATTTAAAACTCAATTCCTCAGCAGCAATAGCCACATCTCAAATGACTAATGGCAATCATAGAGGATGGCACAGGGCCACATTGCAAACCCAGGAAATACGGAATCAGAGCCTGCAATTTCTATCCCCTCTACTATGTTGCATATCTGCTGTGCACTGGGCACTGACGTGTGTGTGTGTGTGTGTATTGAGACCTGAAAGATAGCAAGTATTTAACACATATACATTGAATACGCACTATCCATTTGATCTTCATAGTCCTTTGCAGTGAGCATCATTATGCCACAGTGTAGATCAGGATCAGAGGCTATGTCTTGCCCAGAGCCCCACAGTGTCTGTGCTGGAGTCCAAATCTTCCGCAGTATGTACAAACAAATCATATTATTCTCTGAATATCTCAATCCACTTCTCAACATTTGTAATATATCTATGTTTATACTCACTTTTAATAAAATCAAATGGATATTAAATTTGAGGAGCAAAAGTTTAAGAAAATAAAGTACACACCTCTCCATTGCACAAAATAAAACTAAATTAAACAGCAACTAAAGTCCCAGACAATTACTAACTTAGATGCAAATCAATCAAATGTGACTGAAGGATTTCTGTTTCCAGCTAGCACCAGCTCATAAAGCCCGGCCAATAGTTTTTGAGCCTGGTACCTGGAGGCTCCCCGCTGTTTGTGTAGCCAAGCGGAGTGCTCACGGCAAATCCAAGTCCGATCTGCAATGTTCAGTGCTGCAGCATTACCAAGACCTCAGCTTCTGCATGGATCTACATACACAAAGGGTAATAATAGATATTTTGCACATGAAGCATACAGCTTCAGGTCCACTCTAAGAACATTAAAAAGAATGTTCAGTCTGTGAGGTCTCTGAGCCCATATTTGTCCAGGGTAGCAAGAAGTCCGAACTTCCTTTGTCTAGTGTTTCCCTCCATAATTTGAGGATTTCTAGGGTCACTAACAATGACCCTTTTGGAGATATATTTGTTGCCCCTGCCCAGAGTGTAGGTAGAGGCTTAGGGTGTCTCTCAAGCCCAATCTCAGAAACTGTGGAGTTCAAGCAAGCAAGCTCACTGCCTTGGTTGTCTCCGGCTGGGTTTCACAGCAATCTACAAAGCAGTCTTTTTGCCATTACCAGCATCTCAACTCCCCACGGTGGGGCCAAACTTAGATGTGTATCTCTAAAACCAAAAGCTCTACTACCTACAACAACCAAAAAAAGTTTTAATTAAATTAATATATAAAAATATATCCAGCTTGGGTTAGTGTAGCCAGAAGTTTGCTTTTTTTCTCCTGTGACCAAATTTCTGCCCCATCTGTCCCATGGTTTACGTTTTTTACCCTTCTCCACTCTACAGACACACGCACCTATTGAAGAAGCCGCTCCTCCCAGTCCTAGAATCTGGCTTATATATTATCCCAGGATAAATCACCTCCATGACTGTGGGCAATGGGACTCTTAAATTATAGTCCACAGAGACAAACATGTACATAATAAAATAATATAAATTTGGCATTTAAAAATATATTTATCTACCTCGTAACCATTAGGATGGCTACTATCAAAAAAAGAAAAATAGAAATTAACAAGTGTTGATGTAGATGTGGAAATATTGGAATGCTTGTTCATTGTTAGTATGAATGTAAAATGGTACAACCACTATGGAAAACATATGGTAGTTCTTCAAAAATTTAGAAGTAGAACTACCGCATGATCCAGGTATTCCACTTCTGGGTATACACACAAAAGAATTAAAAGCAGGGGGAAGCCGAGGCAGGCGGATCACAAGGTCAGGAGATCGAGACCATCCTGGCTAACACGGTGAAACCCCATCTCTACTAAAAATACAAAAAATTAGCCGGGCGTGGTGGCGGGTGCCTGTAGTCCCAGCTACTCGGGAGGCTGAGGCAGGAGAATGGTGTGAACCCAGGAGGCAGAGCTTGCAGTGAGCCGAGATCGCTCCAGGTGAAGCGAGACTCCGCCCCAACCCCCCCCCCAAAAAAGAATTAAAAGCAGAGTCTCAGAAAGGTGTTTGTACACTCATGTTCATAGCAGCGTTATTCCCAATAGGCAAGAGGTGGAAGCAACCTAAGTGTCCATCCATGGATAAATGAAACATGGTACGTTTCATTGTACAATGAATGTACAATGGAAAATTATTTAGCCTTAAAAAGGAGGGCAATACTGACACACACTGCAACATGGATAGACCTTGCAGTTATGATGCTAAGTGAAATAAAACCAGTCCCCAAAGGACAAATATTGTATAACTCCACTGATACAAGGCAGCTAGAGCCATCAAATTTGAGACAGAAAGTGGAATGATGGTTTCCAGGGGCTGTGGAGGAGGGGCATGGAGAGGTATTTTAAATCAGTACAGAGTTGCAGTTACAAGATGAAAAGAGTTCTGAAGATACACGGTGGTGATACAATATGAATGTACTTAATGTGTACTTAATGCCACCGAACTGTACACCTAAAAATAGTGAAGATCATAAATTATGTGTACTTCATCACAATTTATATACATGAATATATCCATAAATTATTATATATACTTACTTATAAATGTACATACCTAGAGAGTACATATACATACATACATATACATGTATACAGAAAGAGAGAGTTCTTAGTGTATGCCCAGCAGTGGACTAAGCATTTCACTTCACATAATCCCCACAACAACCCCAAGTAACACTACTCCTATCACCACTACTATCACTAGTTACAGAGGTGGAAACTGAAGCGTTGAGTGACTAAACAATTTGTTCAAGGCTACACAAATAGTAAGTGGCATCCCCTGGATGCAAGCCAAGGTCCCCTTGCACTAGAGCTCACAATATTTACCATTCTGTTCTATCACTCCATGCCCTGAACTGTTTATTGTTACCCAGTGTCATCTTGTTACACTGACTGAGCAAACCAAGACTTTTAGTCATTCACATTCTCTATGGTTGGTCTATAATTCTGGACTTGTAGTAGGGAATTTAGAATGATTATGTTCTGTCTCTTAAAGAGCCTATATTTTGTGGTTCATGGCATTCACTTTCTTTTTTTTTTTTTCGTTTTTTAAAATTTTTGTTTTTCATTTCAATAGGTTTTTGGGGAATAGGTGGTGTCTAGTTACATGAATAAGTTTTTTAGAGGTGATTTCTGAGATTTTTGGTGCACCTATCACCAGAGCAGTGTACACTGCACCCAATGTATAGTCTTTTATCCCTCACTGCCCCCCACCCTTTCTCCTGAGTCCCTGAAGTCCAATATATCATTTTTATGCCTTTGCATCCTCATGGCTTAGTACCAATGTACAAGTGAGAACACACGATGTTTGGTTTTTCCATTCCTGAATTACTTCACTTAGAATAATAGTCTCCAATTGCATCCAGTTTGCTGCAAATGCCACCATTTTGTTCCTTTTCATGGCTGAGTAGTAGTCCATGGTATGTGTGTGTATATATACACACACACACATATATATATAACATATAGACACATATATATATAACATTTCTTTATCTACTCATTGATGAATGGGCATTTAGGCTGGTTCCATATTTTTGCAATTGCAAATTGTGCTGCTGTAAACATGTGTGTGCAAATATCTTTTTCGTATAATGACTTCTTTTCCTCTGGGTGGATACCTAGTAATGGGATTGCTGGATCAAACGGTAGATCTACTTTTAGTTCTTTATGGAATCTCCATGCTGTTTTCCATAGTGGTTGTACTAGTTTACATTCCCACCAACAGTGTAAAAGTGTTCCCTTTTCACCACATCCATACCAACATCTACTATTTTTGATTTTTTGATTATGGCCATTCTTGAAGGAGTGAAGTGGTATTGCACTGTGGTTTTGATTTGCATTTCCCTGATTATTAGTTTGATCATTTTTCCATCTGCTTGTTGGTCATTTGTATATCTTCTTTGAATAATTATCTATTCATGTCCTTAGCCCACTTTTTGATGGGATTGTGGGGTTTTTTTTTTTCTTGCTGATGTAGGTTTTCTGTAGATTCTGGATATTAGCCTTTTGTTGGAAGTTGAGATTGTGAAGATTTTCTCTCATTCTGTGGGTTGTCTGTTTACTCTGTGCAAAAAAAAAAAAAACAATTCAGCAGAATAAACAGACAACCCATAGAGTGGGAGAAAATCCCATAGAGTACTTTAATTAAGTCCCATCTGTTTATCTTTGTTTTTGTTGCATTGCTTTTGGGTTCTTGGTCATGAAGTCTTTGCCTAAGCCAATATCTAGAAAGGTTTTTCTGATGTTATCTTCTAGAAAGAACCTTTATGGTTTCAGGTCTTAGATTTAAGTTTTGATTCATCTTGAGTTGATTTTTTGTATAAAGTGAGAGATGAGGATCCAGTTTCATTCTTCTACATGTGGCTTGCCAATTATCTCAGCACCATTTTTTGAATAGGGTGTCCTTTCCCCACTTGATGTTTTTGTTTGCTTTGCCAAAGATCAGTTGGCTGTAAGAATCTGACTTTATTTCTGGTTCTCTATTCTGTTCCATTGATCCATGTGCCTATTTTTATACCAGTACCATGCTGTTTTGGTGACTATGGCCTTATAATATAGTTTGAAGTCAGGTAATGTGATACCTCCAGATTTGTTCTTTTTGCTTAGTCTCACCTTCACTATGTGGGCTCTTTTGTGGTTTCATACGAATTTTAGGGGATTTTTTCTAGTTCTGTGAAGAATGATGGTGGTATTTTGATGGGAATTGCATTGAATGCGTAGATTGCTTTTGGCAGTATGGTCATTTTCACAATATTGATTCTACCCATCCATGAGCATGAGATGTGTTTCTATTTGTTTGTGTCATTTATGATTTCTTTCAGCAGTGTTTTATGGTTTTCCTTGTAGATGTCTTTCATGTTCTTTGTTAGGTATATTTCTAAGTTTTTTGTTGTTTTTGTTTTGTTTTGGTTTGTTTGCAGCTATTATGAAAGGGGTTGGATTCTTGATTTGATTATCTGCTTGGTTGCTGTTGCTGTATAGCAGAGCTAATGTGTACATTAATTTTGTACACTGAAACTTTGCTGAATTCATTTACCAGTTCTAGGAGACTTTTGGAGGAGTCTTCAGGGTTTTCTAGGTATACAATCATATTATCAGCAAACAGAAACAGTTTGACTTCCTCTTTACCCATTTGGATGCACTTGTCTGATCGCTCTGGCTTGGACTTCCAATACTATGCTGAATAGAAGTGGTGAAAGCGGGCATTCTTGTCTTGTTCCTGTTCTCAGGGGCAATGCTTTCAACTTTTCCCCATTCAGTATACCATTGGCTGTGGGTTTGTAATAAGCGGCTTTTACTACCTTAAGGTATGTCCCTTTTATGCCAATTTTGCTTAGGGTTTTAATCATAAAGGGATGCTGGATTTTGTCAAATGCTTTTTCTGCATCAATTAAGATGATCATGTGATTTGTTTTTAATTCTGTTTATGTGGTGTATCACATTTATTGATTTACATACGTTAAACTATCCCTGCATGCCTTGTATGAAACCCACTTGATCATGGTGGATTATGTATTTGATATGTTGTTGGATTCAGTTCACTAGTATTTTGTTGAGGATTTTTGCAACTATGTTCATCAGGGATATTGGTCTGTAGTTTTCTTTTTTTGTTATGTCCTTCCCTGGTTTTGGTATTAAGGTGATACTGGCTTCATAGAATGATTTAGGGAATTTTTCCTCTCTCTATCTTTTGAAGTAATGTCAATAGGATTGGTATCAATTTTTCTTTGAATGTCTGTTCAAATTTAGCTGTGAATCCATCTGGTTCTGGACATTTTTTTGTTGGCAATTTTTTTTATAACCATTTCAGTCTTGCTGCTTGTTATGGGTCTGTTCTGAGATTCTATGTCTTCCTGGTTTAATCTAGGAGGCTTGTACATTTCTAGGAATTTATCCATCTCCTCTAGATTTACTAGCTTATGCGTGTAAAGGTTTTCATAGCAGCCTTGAATAATCTTTTGTATTTTGTGGTATCGGTTGTAATATCTCCCATTTCATTTCTAATTGAGCTTATTTGGATCTTCTCTCTTCTTTTCTTGGTTAATCTTGCAAATGGCCAATCAATTTTATTTAACTTTTCAAAGAACCAAATTTGTTTCATTTATCTTTTGTATTTTGTTTCTTTGTTTGTTTCAATTTCATTTGGTTCTACTCTGATCTTCATTATGTATTGGGTTTGGGTTGGGATTGTTCTTGTTTCTCCACTTCCGTGAGGTGTGACTTTAGATTGTCTATTTGTGCTCTTTCAGACTTTTTGATGTAAGCATTTAGTGCTATGAAACTTTCCTCTTAGCACTGCTTTTGCTGTATCCCAGACGTTTTAATAGTTTGTATCACTATTATCATTCATTTCGAAGAATTTTTTAATTTCCATCTTGATTTCATTGTTGACCCAATAATTATTCAGGAGCAGGTTATTTAATTTCCATGTATTTGCACGGTTTTTAGGGTTCCTTTTGGAGTTGATTTCAAATTTTATTCCACTGTGGTCTAAGAGAGTACTTGATATAATTTTGATGTTCTTAAATTTACTGAGGTTTGTTTTGTGGCCTATCACACAGTCTGTCTTGGAGAATGTTCCATGTGCTGATGAATATAATGTATATTCTGCAGTTGTTGAGTAGAATGTTTGGTAAATATCTGTAAAGTCCATTTGTTGTAGGGTATAGTTTAAGTCCATTGTTTCTTTGTTGATTTTCTGTCTTAATGACCTGTCCAGTGCTCTCAGTGGAGTATTAAAATCCCCCACTAGTATTGTGTTGCTGTCTATCTCATTTCTTAGGTCTAGTAGTAATTGTTTTATAAATTTTAGAGCTCCGGTATTAGGTGCATATAAATTTAAAATTGTGGCATTTTCCTGTTGGACTAGTTATTTTATCATTGTATACTGTCCCTCTCTGTCTTTTTTAACTGCTGTTGCTTTAAAGTTTGTTTTGTCTGATTAAGGATAGCCACTCCTGCTCACTTTTGGTGTCCATTTGAATGGAATATCTTTTCCACCCCTTTACATTAAGTTTATGTGAGTCCTTATGTGTTAGGTGAATCTCCTGAAGACAGAAGGAACTTGGTTGGTTGATTCTTATCTATTCTGTATTTTTTAAGTGAAGCATTTAGGCCATTTACTTTCAATGTGAGTATTGAAATGTGAGGTACTATTCTACTCATTGTACTATTTGTTGCCTGAATACCTTGGCTTTTTTTCATTGTGTTATTGTTATATAGGTCCTGTGAGATTTACGCTTTAAGGAGGTTCTATTTTGGTGTACTTTGAGGGTTTTCTTTTGGGTTATTATGTGTTCATAATTATCACTTATTGAGGATATACTGCATGTTAGGTTTGCTTTAGTTTCTTTGCATATTTTCTGCAATACCTACAGCATTACTACATGGTAGCATCCTTATTATCATTTATAAAATCAAGGTCCTGAGGCTTTTAAAGTTAAGTAACTGGATTACACAACTAATAAAACTGAGAGTTGAACCTCAATTTGTTGAAATCCAAAATGTGCTTCACTAAGTCATGCTCTCCTCTATTGCTCAACAATCAATGGACACATGAGCAACTTGGTTTCTCAATCTTTAATTTGGCCTTGGCTTAAGTATCCTTTCATAGGATTGTTACCAATATTAACAGTCTGATTATCTTTAAGACAATATATACGCTTTTAAAATATTCTTTCAAAGTAAATATTTTCATCAGTTCTCTTACCAGTAGGGTTAGGAGGTTGGACTAATGAACCCTCAGTTCTGACATTTTCTAAATTGTAATTCTATTATACAACTGCGTTAAGACTGTAAGACAAGAAGACACATGAGAAAGATTGAGAAGCATAATTCAGAGAGGTAATAAGTTTCCCTACAACTTTAGGGAAGCCTAATAGGTCTTGCCTTAGAAGTTCAGCCTCTTAATATTACTTTTCACATAACATACTCTTGACAGCATTTATTATTAATGATCATCTATGAGTTATGAAGGACAAAATCATGTGAATGGAATCCAAAAGTCAAACAACGGTCTCTCAGAAGCAATTGAACCTTATCCAACTGCAGCATAATTTTGGGAATGAGCTAAAGAGTAGCACTAAAGAAAATGCTTTGCTTGAGGTAGTGATTTAATCTCTAAGGAGTGCCACCAGAAATATAGATGGAGCAGGAGAGAGGAAAAAGTGGTCATGGTATTAAGAAACATCCATGGTCAATCCCACAATAGGTCAGTTGTATGTGCAACCCTGAACTTTAAATCACATGGATTCTGAAGGCTTGGACGCAGACATATTTCTTCATTCAACACTCCCTGGCTCCTCGGTATTGGCAAATTCAGGTCTGTAAAGGGTCAAATGTGTTGAACTCCTGTCAAACTTTCCAGGGTGGTTTAAAGTCAGTAATTTTCATCTTAATCCTGAGGCCACAGTGTGTTCAAGTTAGAAATCTACTCCATATGTTCATGATATTATTTCACAGACGCTCCTGAAAGATTTCTTCATAAGAACTCTGTGAGGTTTCCAAACCTCCTTGGCCTCTTAAGATTGGTTTAACTTCAACATTAGAAATAAAAATATCATTAGTTAAAATCAGTATCTCTTATTGAGATTCTAGTATATGCAAAGCACTTTTTCATGCATTATCTCATTGAATTCTCACAACCAGCCAGCGAGTTGGATGGAAGCATCCCCTTTTTCAGATACGAAGGCACAGATGGATAAACAGCCCCTCAAATGTGTCCAGCTGGCTTATGGCCTCTGCCGAGGGCTGAACCTAAGTCTATCTAGCTCCAAAGCTCATATCCTTTTACTACATCACACTGTTTCTAAAGCTGGTTTCTTTTTAGATTAGAAAATGATAGGTATTCTCTTGAAATATGGGATATGCCCTTGCTTAGAAGAAAACGAAGCCCAGTAACATGTTCTCTGTTACCTAGCCCCTTCCCCAGCTGACCTGCCGACCACAGTGATATTGTAAGTTATTATTCTCTATAGAAAGGGTTCTTTGTTTGGGTCTTTTAAAACTGCAAACCAGTCATTCTGGAAAAAAAGGCAAGCAGCTTGAATTTGTACCCATAAGTTTGTTTGCATGCCCATTACTCGTGTCCCTTTTCTTTAAACTGAACTTGTCAAACTGTTTTTGCAAGTATTCAAAATGTTGCCACCCATTTAGTCCTCTCTAGAATATAAATTCTAAACGGTTTTGTAAAGAACTGGAAAGTGCTAGTTTTGCTAACATTTGGAGAATTTGAAATTAAAATGGAAAGATGTTAAATGATCAAAAAGGCAAGAGAAATATCACCAGAGCCAAAACTTGCCCTGACTCACCAGCTCCATGGTTGCATTCTCAATGTCTGGTATCTTGTATCTTAAGAAAACGCAAATTTGACTTATTCTTGCAAAATGCGAACAAAGTCAACTTTAAATCTAATAAAATAAAACATCTCCGGCGAATTCTGAAGTAGAAGATTTAAAATAGGAAAACGAAAAGTCTAAAAGAAGCAAAAAATTATTTTTATGTCGTCTACTCTGTGCCAGAACCCTGCCAGGTATTTTAACCTAGTGCCTTTTTCTCATTGTGACCCAACAAAGTAGGTTTTATTCTCATTTCATAAATGAGGCATCTGAGTTCTTCATATCTGAGGTCATATATCTTGCCCAAGGTCACACAAGAAGTAAATAGAAAACCTAGAATCAGAACTAAGCTCTAACTCCAAAACCCATTCCTTTTTCATTTTATTAAACTGTTGCCTTGAATTTTAAAATACATGAAATAGTCACTAAACTACATTTTCATTGACTAATAACTATTATGGGAGAATTATTGTAGAGTAATTCATAAAGCAGTAGAACTTGCCAAGTAAACACATTTTTAATGATGATGACCAAAGCATACTCATACAGTCATTTAAACAGGTGAGGTGATCATTATATTGCTCCCCTGTTTAAACAAGGTTTTCATTCATTTAAGAAATATAACATGGCATGATGCATGTTTGGAAGAGATAAGACATGCCTCTGAGCCACCATCTGAGAGGGTGAAGGCAGAGACCCATGATGTGAGAGGAAAGACAGTGATGCAAAATGTATTTTATCTCAAAGAAGCATATGCCTTGAGGTCTTTTCATTGAAAGTGTTAAAGTCCAAGGGAAGAAAATAAAACTACAGAGCCTTTTTCTTATTTTCCTCATCAATATGAAATGATTTATCTTACTTGCCTTATGTTTTACGCCATAAATAGAAAATCTTGATAAAATAACTGTGCGAACAATTCCAAATAACTATTTCAGATAAGTTAGGAAAATATTATCTATTGAATCACTCTGATGCCATTAATATTGAAATGAGTAACATCACACAGCCCATCTGAATCACTTATCATTTAAGTAAAATACACTGACACAGGATTTTGCATTTTTCCTCTGTAAGAAAGAAGCATCAGTGGAAAGCAGTAGAGGAACATAAACAAAACAGACGGTGTTAAGAAAATAGGTGGCCCCAGAATCTGTGTGAGAAATCTCAGACTCACACTCTTGGCACCGTTCCCCCTTGTGCCTCTTTGGAAGCTCTAGCTCCTCCAGATCTTGGCTGTTCTTTTTCCAAAAGACACCACTCATCTGACTTGATGTGAAAACCCACCCTCGGGTCATTATCACCAGGTAATGGCAAATGCAGAGAAAACCCTATGTTTCCAAATCCTGGATTCTCTCAGTCCCTTGGAATGTGCCACTTTTCAGGAAGTGTTCAGGTCCCTTATGTCAGTACGCTCCTCACCAGGACTCTCAGCCCTACCCCATGCAAGTTTGCTGCACCTCTCTGAATCTGAAAGCAGGTTAGCACAGCCTGATCTTTCCCAAGTATGGAGAATCAAACCACAGCCTCTATTTCAGTGAGTCATCACTCCTCTTCTTGTCTATTCCATGTCTAGGAAGATTTGTTTGCTCTTGTTACTCACCAGTCTTGTACCACCAGACAGCTTGGCTGCCTCTCAGTTATTTCATCTGTTCAACTAGCGTTTGGTCATTCCCCTCATCGTGATGTGCAGCAGATGGCTTGGGTTGTCCTCCTTCCTGCCCAGCAGAATTGTGTTACAATAAGCATGACTTCTGTGCCTGTCAGCTAGCAGTGCTCCAAGCCACCACTTGCAAACTCCCTTCATGCAATTTAATGAGGATGTTTCTTAAGTAGTTATCTCAGTCCGTTTTCTGTTGCTTATAACAGAATACTTGAAACTAGGTAATTTATAAAGAAAGGGAATTTATTTCTTAAATTATGGAGGCTGAGAAGTCCAAGGTTAAGGGACTACATTTGATGAGGGCCTTCTTGCTGGTGGGGACTCTCTGCAGATTCCCAAGTTGATTCAGGGCATCACATGATGAGGAGGCTGAGTGTGCTAGGTCAGATTTCTCTTCCTCTCTTACAAAGCCACCAGTCCCATTCCCATGATAACCCACTAATCCATTAGCTTATTAATCTATGAATGGATTAATCCTGCCCTCATGACCCAATCATCTCTTAAGGACTCCACTTCTCAATACTGCCACATTGGGGATTAAATTCCAACATGAGTTTTGGAGGGGACATTTAAACCATAGCAGTTGTGCTGCAACAACTGACTATGAAACTCAGGAGTGTAGTCTCTGGCATATAACAGTCTGAGACAGTTACACTGCCATCTTCCTCTTGACTTAACTCCGGTCTGAAATTCAACTTGGCATGCCCCATATGCTGATATCCCATAAAACATGCTATATTCTTTTATGTGGTTTTCTACTCTATGCCAAGCAAATGCCATGCTATTCATACAAATTTAATTTAAAACAATGCATATTAGTCCATTTTCATGCTGCTGATAAAGACATATCTGATACTGGGCAATTTACAAAAGAAAGAGGTTTATTGGACTTACAGTTACGTGCCTTGGGAGACCTCACAATCATGGTGGAAGTTGAAAGGCACATCTCACATGGTGGCAGACAAGAGAAGAGAATGAGAGCCAAGCAAAACGGGTTTCACCATATCAAACCATCAGATCTCATGAGACTTATTCACTATGAGGAGAACAGTATGGGGGAACTGCCTCCATGATTCAATTTTCTCCCACCAGGTCCCTCTCACAACACATGGGAATTATGGTAGTAAAATTCAAGATGATATTTGGGTGGGGACACAGAGCCAAACCATATCACTATGCAAAATCATTTATTCTTTCAAATATGCTTTTAATATCATACATCAACTTAGAGCAAGAAAACCTACCATATAGCTAGAATAATTATTGGGAAAAAATATTGAAAGACATTGTTTTATTCTACCAATCTAAACTTGTGTTTCTCACCACTGGGAGTATATTAGAATCCCCTATGGGACTTAAAAAAATTATAGATGCCTTAACTCCAGATTGCTTATGTCCCCTCCCAAAAGATCAAGCTGCCTTTCAAGCTTTTTCCATGTAGCAATATTGTAGCAATATTGTGAGGTTAATTCTGAGGCTTTTATAGAAATGTGGCTAACTAATGAATACCTTGAGTATCTCCATTGTACAGTAAAAAATATTACTGTAGCCATGAAATGTGTTCATATTCCAATCAGAGTTTGCCCTTTCCACTGGGGCCGAGTCTAAGAATTCCAGCTGGTAAATGGATAAGTAGAATAAACATCCATGTAAATAATAAGGAGATTGCAATTAGGATCTGCTTTTAACTTAAACCTTTCTGTGATCATCTATCTGATTAAACCATTCATCTTTTTTAAAAAAATAAGAGTGTTGTTCTCTTACAAGTTATTGCCTGAGTTATCCTGGATGCTCAGGTTGCAAGAATAGATACATTCAGGTTATCTCAAATGTTAAATAAATATTGTAAGGCCTATGAGAAAGGAAAGAAACTCCAAAACTAACTCTGCAATACATACCAAAGATTGAAAGCAGAATGTTCTTTATCATTTTTTAGGGTGAATAGATGGTTTCTAGAGAGCAACTCTAGAATTCATCTCCTTAGCAAAGTATGGCATTGTGGTCAACACAAGAAAACTCTAGATGCTTCAAGTAGAAGGAATTTAATACAGGAATTGGTTTCACAAGAGATGAAAATGTGAGAAGATCAATAGGCAATGGTGGGTCTCATTAAAATCAGCAATAATCTGCTGTCACCCTGAGAGCTGGAAAGACAAAGAGAGAAGGTGGTGTTACAAGAAATGACAAAGCATGGCCACCTGGGGGAAAGAGGACGACGGTGGGCCTGCCTGGTGGGAGGTTGCACAATCAAATGAGATGCTTTCAGGCAGGAGCTGGAATCATAAAGGTTATATAGCCTCTGCCAAAGACACCAACTGAGACAGGAAGAGAGGGGAAAATATACTGGCTTTTCCCTTCTTCCTGCAGCCATATCTCCTACCGGTGCCTTCCATCAACTTAACATAACCAGGAGTTAGTGATAGATATCAGTGCTGGAGAAATATAGAGAATGGATCTGAGGGCAAAAAGGCAAATTTCAGAACAGAGGGCATCTGTGGCTCCCAGCTCTATCACTTCACCATCCTGATGATTCAGCATCTCAGTCTCTGCTTCACCTTGGATTGCTTACTTCTATCTCTTTGTACGTTATGAATTCAAACTCACAAAAAGAAAGGGTATGCTTGGGTTGATTAGCCCTGCTTAATCTAAAGCAGTGTTATTAGGTAGAGTTGTGCAGCAATACAGTTTCTATAAAACTCCTTTTGATTGAGCCACGTGTGCAACAAGCTATAGAGTTCTTGACAAGTCACTTGGTGTAAAGCAAGAAAACTACCACACGAAGGAAACATCCACAGTTAATGTTCTCAGGAAAGGGACATGTTACATCTAGGAAGTACTTGGAGGATTTTTGAGAAATCCTCAGTGTTATGAGCTGAATTTGTGCCTTTCTCCCAAATTCATATGTTGAAGCCCTACCCCCCAGCTGCTTAGAATGTAGCTGTATTTGGAGATAGGGTCTTTAAGAAGGTCATTAATTTAACATGAGGTCATATGGGTGGGCCTTAATCCCATATAACCAGTGTCATATGGGAGAGACTAGGATACGGACACGGAAGGAAGACCATGTGAAGACAAAGGAAGCAGACAGACACATGCAAGCCAAGGAGAGAGGCCTCAGGAGAAACCAACTCCGTTGACACCTTGATCTGGGATTCCTAGCTTCCAGAATTGTAAGAAAATTAATTTTTGTTGGCTGGGCACAGTGGCTCACACCTGTAATCCCAGCACTTTGGGTGGCCAAGGCGGGTGGATCATGAGGTCAGGAGATCGAGCCCCTCCTGGCCAACATGGTGAAACCCCATCTCTACTAAAAATACAAAAATTAGCTGGGCGTGGTAGTGTGCCACTGTAGTCCCAGCTACTCAGGAGGCTGAGGCAGGAGAATCACTTGAACCTGGGAGGCAGAGTTTGCAGTGAGCCAAGATCATGCCAGTGCACTCCAGCCTGGCGACAGAGCAAGACTCCGTCTCAAAAAAAAAAAAAAAAAAAAAAGAAAATTAGTTTTTATTGTTTGAGCCACTCAGTTGGTGGTACTTTGTTACGGCGGCCCTAGTAACCTAATATAGTTGGTAAATTAGACTGAAATGTTTGTATAGATCACCAGTACTTTGAAGGACAATGGTGTGTACAATATATTTAGTGATGATTACCTCTGTCACCAGGGCTCTTTAACATTGGTCTTTGTGTTAGTCAGCAAGGGCTGCCATAACAAAATACCACAGACCAAGTGACTTAAACAATAGAAATTTATTTCTTCACAGTTCTGGAGGCTGGAAGTCCAGATTAAGTTGTCAGTTCAGTTTCTCCTGAGCTCTCTCAGTTTGCAGACAACTGCTTTCTTAGTGTGTCTTCATGGAGACTTTGCTCTGGGCAAGCTCATCCCTAATGTCTCTTCCTCTTTTTATAACGATACCAGTCATATTGGATTAGGGCCCACTCATCTGACCTCATCTAAACTTCATTATCTTTTTAAAGGCCCTATCTCCAAATACGGTCACATTGAGGGTTAGGACTTCAACACATGAATTTTGAGGGAATATTATTCAATCCTTAACAGTCTTCAAACATTTAATCTTTTCTACTTTTAGTTGTAGCTACTGAAAGTGTTCCCATCTGGGCAGCAAAGATCTGGTCTGGAGACCCAGCTAGGACACCTCTTCTGAGTGTCATCAAGTTGATCACAAGTTCTAATAATTAGTCTTTAGTTCTCTAAAATGGGAATCCAAACCCTTTTCTCACCAGGTCATTGTGGAAATTTAATTAGACTGTTGATGAGAGTATTTTGTGAACTACGAATAATAAAGTTTCATCACTGATATCCTCATGAGAATCAGTGTACCTCCCAATGTTTACTTCTATCTGGAAGGTCATCCTCCACATAATCACTAGGTCGAGCCTATTCTTTCTTCCATTGACACATTGCCTAGGTTATATTTCCAACTGGGCCTGGGTTTGGCTGGATCTTGCTTCCTACATCATTTCTAAGATCATGACTATTTACAGTTTCCTCCCCTATAAATAGGATAATATTATCTGTTTCATAGGTGTTTTGAGGATTAAATGATTCAATAGCTATGAAACACTTAAAACAGTGTTAACATATATTAGGCACTGTATAATTGCTGTTAACATCACCATCATTATTACTAGAATTGCAGATAACTTTTTTATATAAGTGATGTTATTACCCTATTTGATTCCCCTTTACCAGGCTTATACACCCACTGCCCAGCTGCTGCAGGTGTGGGTTGTCACAGGTTCATACCTGCAAACTTTTCTAGAAGATTGCCCTTGACTGACGGGAATCGACTCCACTAAGATATCTGGGGATGCTGTGCCTCAACCCCTGGAGGCAATCCATAGCCAATGACTGACTCATACAGTCCCCTCTGTGCAGGGCAAACTCCGTTGTGGGATTCACTCTCTAGTATTCTGCGATGGGAAAAATCTGAGGCTAGATGTTTTCTGAAACCACATCTTTGCCCAGCTTCTTTCCCTGCCCCACCTTATTTCCCTTACCCCTTGCAGGATTCTCCTGAAACCACCCCCTCAGTGAATCACTTGCACAAGAATTTGTGTGTCAGGCTCAGAATCTAGGGAACCCAACCTGAGAAACTCACCTTACAATTAGACCATGTTTTATATATTTTCTTGTCTCTACCATGATATCTAACTTAATACCAGTCTTTTATTAGGCATTTAAACAAATGTTTTCTGGTTAATCAGTTGAAATAGCTTCAAAATATCTCCAGGAATAAAGACTGGTAATTTCAGTTTCAAAGACCTAGAGACCAAGAATGTAGCTGCAAAATACAGAAATTGTGCGATGGAAAAATGTGTTCACCTACCTTAACAGCTGATGTAAATCACAGTTAATTGCGAGCATTGATTGGTATTAAACGTGAGTACTGCCAAAATGATAGGATCAAGTGTGTCATTTGGAAACTGCATATACACCCAGAGAAAATGCGGAGAACATTGTCATTGAACACTTTCGTATGCTTTGTGGATGGATTGTGTCATCTTAGTGACAGCACATGCTGCAGAAAGGGTCTCTGAGGAAGTCAGAGGACAGGTCTTTATCTCTTCATTTCTCCTGAGGTTACAGGAGCAAGTTTCAATTAAAGGCAATGAAAGAATGCGAGCATCTTCCACTACTACGAACAACCAGATGTTCTTACCTTAGTTCATCTTATATTTCACATTGACATAAAAGAAAAGTAAAATATTATTCAAAGATATAGAAAGCCATAGCCATCTGCAGTCGAATCAGCCTTGCCCTTCCTCTCATGGCTTTCTCATTACAATCACATAAAGTAACATAGGAAAGAACTTTTTAAACAGCAATGCACTATGTAATTACATGGTACTAAATGATTATTATTAATATTGTTTAAAAAATACATTCCCCACAGGTATACATTAGGTGTTTCAGGTATATTAGTCAGAATTTGTTTAGTGGCAAGTGGTAGAATCCTAACTTAAACTAGCCCTAGCTTACAAAGTACTCAATCATTGGGTACAGGGAGTTCTGACATCTAGCACAATTCCAATTGTTAAAACTCACAGCAGAGCTGATTGGGGACAGCACACCAGTAGAAGGGAAGGCACCAGCTGGCATGATATATCAGGCATTTGAGAGGTACTAGGACTTTGTAACTAGGACAATGCTATTCCAATGACTATTGCTAAATGATATTGATATTCTAAATCCGTGGATCTCAAACTCCAGCATGCATCAAAATCACCTGGACATTTGGCAAAACGCACAGATTTCTGGGCTCCAGTGTAATGTTTCTGATCAAGAAGGTCTGAGGTAGAGCCAAAGAATTTACATGGTTAACAACTTCAAGGTGATGGTGATGCTGCTGGCTCAGGGACCTTCCTTTGAAAACCACTCTTCCAGAAAAAATTAATGAAAAGGTGCAGGTGATTGACAGCCAATGAAAACCAAGTGTGAAAGCCAGAGGGCTTCTGCGGTCTCTCACAGGGACTCTACTTTCTACAACAGGAGGGAAGAAAAAGCTGGGCCAGGGCCTGGTTTAAGGGTGGCCAAACTCCTGATAAGGGAAAATACTCAAATGAAGGCAGGCTGTTAGATAAACATCAGCACCTGGTTGGGAAAAATGAGATCTTTCCATCTGAAACTGTAGAACCTGGACAAAGGCACCTCAAAATTTGGAACCCCAGAATGTTCTGCAACTTTGGAGCCTGCAGTAGTAGCCCATACCTCTCTATTAAGAGCTGGAATTCCTCCCTTGATTGAAAATAAAGGAGCGGCTTCTCTCCTGCAAGTTTCCCTGGACCCCAACCTCCCGCATAGGATTCATGGGCATTGATCCCTAAAAATACCCATTATGCCCAAATCCATCTCAGCGTCTGCTTCTGAAAAACACAACCCATGACAGCAGCCTCTAGCTGGTGATGACTGGACCCACAAACTCCATAGCTTTAAAACCCTTGCGGTCAAAGTTTTTACCCGTCTGCCTTTCAGCTTAATTTTTTCCCGTTGATGATGCACTTTAACCCTGTGCGTGGACAGCACAGCCATGGATGTATCAGACTTACTATACAATAGCAATTCTGTGGCACAAGAGTCTAAGAGGCATCTCTTCTGATTCAGTTTGAAAAAATCCAGGGAAAAATCCTTACTGGTCTTGTTACAGGTAGTTAGGCATGAGCGGGGCAGGAGAGGGCTCTTCCCCTGGCACCCACTAGAAATGTCGGGTGATGGTTTGGCAATTATTGCATTTCCTCTCTAAAAATGATAATTCAGCAGCCAGGGACAGGCTCCTGATGGTCCACACCTGTTAACATTAAGAGTGTTAATCGAATGCAGGCCCCAGAGAGAAGCTGTTTCTTGGGCATGCGTGTTAAGAGACAAAATGGCACAGTATGATGTTTTGGGGGACACATGAGACTGGAAAAAAAGGAAAAAAGCCTCAGATGGGCACTCTGAGTTATACTCATGTATAACTCCAGATACGCACTGCACACACTCAGTTCCAACAGGTAAGGAAAGCACCGTGCATGCAGGAAGCCCACCCTAAGGGAAGAGTCATGGGAAAGAGGCGAGCCTGTGAAGTCCTAGAGTCAAAGTTAAAGGCCTTTTTTTTTTTTCCCTTCTGTCTTCTCTTTTCTCTTTTTGACCTTCAGGCACCCACTTGGATCTCATCCAAGGGTTCTTTCCTTTCTTTCCTGTTCTAAAGCTTTTTAAATAAACTTCCATCCCTGTTCTGGAACTTGCCTTGGCCTCTTTTTCTGCTTTATACCCCTCTGTCGAATTCTTTCTTCTGAAGAGGTGAGGACTGAAGTTGCTATGGACCCATAGGGATATGCTGTCAGTAACTCAGATCTCTTCCACCGCTAACAGTCTGGCTTGGGTTGTGTGCTCACAAACCTTGGGCAAATCACTCACTGTACCCAGAACCGTGAAGAATATGATACATGATAAGAGCATCCTGGGCCAACCCTCACTCCTGTGGCCAGGAGCCGAGGACTATCATGAAAAGGAGGAGAAGGTATGAAATGGACAGGAATGACAGCAAGCAGTTCTGAGTGTGACTGATGCTAATTCACACCAAAATCCTTCTATATGTCCTCCATTATTTTCATAGTTTAAAAAAGGAGAGTAAAAAGGGGGGGAAAATGCCTACCTCTTTTATCACAAATTTTCATATCTGAGGGGGTATGAAAATAGGTCATTAATGAATCTTGGTTGCAACAGACAGAAACCTAAACTCAAACTACCTTAAGCAAAAATTGGAATTTATCAGAAGGTTCATGTAACTACAGGAAGTAGAGTGGTTCAGCAGGCCACAGACTCTCAGATACCACCAAGCCCATCTCTCCCCTCACCTCTTGCTTCAGCCTCTCACTCTGTGGCATCATGTCTTCCAACCAGCTTTCTCAACATAGCAGGGAACAAAAGAAGATGAAGCCACCTGTTTCCTGTTTCCTAGCTTCATAATAAATAAGGAAATGCCATTTTTTCCCTTTCTCCAGGTTGAACAATGATAGGAAAAATTTTGATGGCCCGGCTTGGTTCTATGCCTAACTCTGGAAACAATCATACATAATCAGAAGAAAAGTCTCCTAGGGTTGGATCAGATTAATGTCATACTCATGATGAAAGGGGAGATGAATTATTCAAGAACATGGAAGAACTGGGAGAATTACATGGCTGGGAAGCCACGAGGAGAATTTCCCAAATAAAGGGGATTGCATAACCTAGTAAAGCTGGAAGAATACCAGACAGAGAAAACATTGACTCCATTTCAGAGAATACAACAACAGGGTTTGCTTTCTACAAGAAACAGGAGAAATCACATGCACAAGTCTGCAAAGTGTATTACATAATGCACTCAAAAAAAGAAAGGCATAAATTTTCATTCAATCTCATCTGCTTTTGTAAAGATGCACACACACACACACACAAACAGGTTATAGGACGTAAGTACCTTAAACGACACTTAAAAGCCACTAGCTTCAATCTCATTACTTTTTAGATGAGGCAGCTAATGTCTACAGAAAAGTGACTCATTTAAAGCCACTACTTGGTGGCAGGTACCAGGACCCCAAGTCCGGTGCTCTTCCTATTTTGCCTAATATAGAAGCCTGATCCAAACTTGGTTAGTAAAATACTTCCAACATTCTGGAAAATTTACCATGTTCCCTGATGTTCAGGGCTATTGCAGTTATGAATCATTTTCTCTGTGCACACAAGTTTTTCTTCTTTTTTTTTCTTTTTTTTTTTTTTTTTGAGACGGAGTCTTGCTCCGTCGCCCAGGCTGGAGTGCAGTGGCGGGATCTCGGCTCACTGCAAGCTCCGCCTCCCGGGTTCACGCCATTCTCCTGCCTCAGCCTCCCAAGTAGCTGGGACTACAGGCGCCCGCCACTACGCCCGGCTAATTTTTTGTATTTTTAGTAGAGACGGGGTTTCACCGTTTTAGCCGGGATGGTCTCGATCTCCTGACCTCGTGATCCGCATGCCTCGGCCTCCCACAAGTTTTTCAATGGGAAGCTAATAAAGGTTGAAATACCATTGGAAAATAGGGGCCAAAATAATTTTTTAAAATTTATATTCAGGAGTTCAGGTTATAATCCTAATGTACCACAGTGCCTTAATTGCCTAAGTGGCAATTTAATTATTTAAATCGTAATCTGTCTCAAAACTACTGACTTTTGTATCTTATACTCTGTATTTCTCCATAGCAGTGGAAAAGCCTGGCAGAAAGGGCAAGAAGAGGGTGGACCATATCTATGTTCAGACAGAGAAAGGAAAAGATGTGTATTAGTCAGTTTTCAGACTACTATTAAAAAAATACTCAAGACTGGGTAATTTATAAAGGAAAGAGATTTAATTGACTCCATTCCACATAGCTGGAGAGGCCTCAGGTACTTACAATCATGGTGGAAGGGGGAAGCAAACACATCCTTCTTCACAAGGTGGCAGGAGAGAGAAGTGCAGAGCAAAGGGGGAAGAGCCCCTTATAAAACCATCAGATCTCATGAGAACTCACTATCATGAGAACAGCATGAGGGAACCGCCCCCATGATCCAATCACCTCCCACGAGGTCCCTTCTCCAACACGTGGGGATTACAATTTGGATTACAATTCAAGGTGAGATTTGGTGGTGAGGGGTGGTACACAGAGCCAGACCATATCAAGACATTTAGCACAGAAAACAACACCAGAAAAACTTAACTTGATGCTGATTAGTCTCTGAAGAAAAAAGTAAATCTCACCTAAGTTCAGTCTTAATGCTTTTAGAATTATTAATTATAATTGAGCTCTTCTCATCTCTCAGAGTATTCAAATACCTTAAAATCTCAAATATAATTACTAAAACATTGTAGGGATGCACTTTACAGCTTGTATGGCAAAAGTTGTCTTTTTGCAATGTCAATTTACAGAATGAAAAGCAAAAACAAACAAACAAAATGTCCAGAAATACTTTGTGCTCTTTACAACCGAGTTTACTCTAGAGTTTGAATATCAAGTCTGGGGTGGCAGCATATTTGGAAGTAGTCAGCACATAGATATTTAAAGCCAGTGAATCAAAAGAGATAGGTCAGGGAATCAGGGCAGATAAAAGTCATGAAAATCCAGGCCTGTGTCATGCCAACATGATAAGAGGTCTAGGAGATGAGAAACATAAGAAACTGAGAAGAAAATGACAGTGAGGTAGAAGGAACCAGGGAGGATAATAGCTTAAAATCCAAGTGAAGAAAGAATTTTGATTTGTTTGAAGTGGTCAACTATGTCAAAAGATAGAGTCAGATGAAAAGAGAGAATTGATTTTTGGATTTGGCTTTGTGGGAGTTGGAGATCTTGACAAGCACTAATTCATAGGAGTGATATAAATACAACTTTAATTGGAGGGGTTCAGGAGAAGATGGGAGGAGAGGACATGCAGCCTGTCAATTATATCAGCTTAACTATAAAGGGGAGAAGAGAAAATAGGGAGGTAGCTATAAGGAGATGTATGGTGTATGAAGTTTTTCTGTCTTTCTAAGACAGAAGATATGAGAGCATGTTTTGATGCTAATGAGATGATCCAGTAAAGAAGGGGAAATTTATAATGCAAGAGAAAGGGAAGCCAATTGCAGGATGAATAACTTTGAGTAGGCATAGAGAACAAGATCCAGTGCACACATCACCGAATAGTTCTTAGATAGGAGTAAGAACAGTTCATCTGAAGTAGCAGGTGGGACAGTAGAAGAGATGGGCCAAGATGCTGGTAGGTTGGTAGATTTAGTAGGGAAAGTGTGTGGGAGTGCTTTTCAGATTGCTGATATTTTCTCAATAAAATAAAAAGTAAAGTCGTCAGCTGAGAATGCAATTGGGGAGAAAGTGACAGGAAATTGAGAAGAGAAAATGAAATATTCATCCAAGACAGTGAAAGAGTGAAAGGCTTGGGAGGGATATAATGGGAATAACTAGATAAGTAGGATCCATTCAGGGGGTTTTATGTTTTTCTCCAGCAATATCCACTTGCCTGTTCACAAATATGAGTGTGTTTCAAGAACATCAGATTTTACTTAGGTTAGAGCTCTGCCAAGAAGAGAGAGAGGGCAAAGTACTTGAGGTTGTGTGCACAAAAATGGTTACAGTGCTAAACTATGGAAGCTAAGCTGTGTACAGAGAAAAATAAGGATGTGTGTTCTGAGGAAAAGCAAAAACTAGAGTCTGCAGAATTGTTGAAGTTGAGATACTAGCAGAAATAAATTGGAAATATAGGGGATGGTATTTGGAAAGAGGGCTACTCAAGATTTAGTTTACACAAGGGGTACAGTTATCAGTAGCAACCAATATATAACCAAGGGAATGGATGGCTAAAGTAAGTTGAGAGACAAAATCACTGAAGGAGAAGTCAAGGAACTAACAGTTCATGGTATTGACAGGATCAACTACATGTATGTACACGTTAAGAGAGGTGACGCTATATTGCAGTAACAACCTCAGTGTTTCAGTGGTCACAAGCCCCCACGTTTCTAATGCATGCAAAGTTGAAGCTCAGCAACTCTCCAAGGCTGGTCTCTCCACTGAGTGACTTAAGGAGTCAGTTTTGGGCTCTGCATCTCAACATGTGGCATCTATAGTCACTGTTGAAAGGGAAGCAAGAGAATAGAGATGGCACATGGACTCTTAAATACTTTGCCTCAGCAATGATACTCATTATTTCCACTCACCATATCATTGCCTGGAACCAGTCATACAGCCCTCACTACCTGTACCATGTCCAGTAACATGGGGAGTGTGTCTGGCTGCCACAATTTCTCCTTAAGAGTTATCAAGGAGTAACACATGAGGGAAAGATGGTGAACTGGGTGCTAAATTCTCAAAGAATGAAGGGAATTCACCCAGAAGGTTAGATGAGACTGCAACAAAACAATTAGCAGGTAGTGGAGACTGTTGGCATAAGAAGCCAAGGCACTGCGGGCTCATCTGCTAGAAATGACCTTCTCTTTATACTAAACTGTCTGAAATGTGTGTACATGACATCAAATATCTGGATATTAATGAAACATTCAATCATCTAGATCTTTCCAAAGGCATTAAATCTTAAGCTACTCAGAAATGGGCTGTTGATGAATCTGATTAATACAGAGTTAGCCATATTTCCTTAGTGGATTACCAGGCTTTAAAGAATGAAAATATGGGAATAATAAAACCTTACTAAACATAATTTATTCTTTCCTTGATGATTTAGAAGGCACCTTTAGCTCCTATGGTGACTTAGGGACATTCCTATGAACATCGATTACAATTGAACTGCGGATATGCAAGGCAATAACTCATGTGACCTCTCTGCACACTTGGAGCTCAAGCAGGGCCGCAGGAAGAGTAATGACAGTGGGGAATGGAAGGGTCAAGAGCTGGGGAAACTAACCAGGTGGCAGGGCTTACTCTCAAGAGTAAAACCAGCAGTTGAAATAATAAAGTTCAAGGAGATGAGGGACCTTGGGTTTCAATCAGGGCTGATATGTACATCCAGAAGGTACCCTCCAGGTGCTGGTAACACAAGACCAGAAATCTCCCCTTACCATGCAGGCAGATCGTATGTCTCCAATCTAAGAGGCTAATTAGTTGGAAGCAGATGTGGAGTATCCAGCTATTGGGATTTCTTTCTAAGTCGTGGTTTATTAACCTGGCGCTGGGCCTTTCAAAGGCCAAACAAGCTGCTAATCATTGTGAGGTCCAGGACAAGGGTCTGATTCCAGCAGGAAATTGAAAGGCAAACCAGGAAACCAGGGAGTTAAGCACAGGAGGAGAGGTGGGAAGAAGGGCCTCCACTTGATGAGCATCCCAGATCTCAGGCTTCAGCAAGCATGTTGATTACAGAGTATGGTCACCTGGAGATTAGATGGGGGCCTCTACTATGGTTTCAAGGAGAAGGAAACAGAGGAAAATAAGGAGAAAATGGCTTGGTTGGCTTTGGGTAGGGCTTAGCGTAGAGCTCATTTTCTTGAGAGGGAGGGAGGGACAGGTTGGAGAATGAAGAAACTGACATGCAGAAATAAAAGGCAAGGAAAATTCTGATTTACTCTATTGGAATGCCAGATGGAAGTGCTCTCTTTAGAGGCTGCAGGATTACATACCCCACCCAATCTGTTTTCCAAGGGCTGTACTTCTGCTCCTCTATTTGGAGGCTAGGCCAATATTCAAGTTAGGATAACGGAAGGAGATTGTTTTTGTAACGCAACTTAATTCACAAAAACGAGTCAAAGAATGTTTTTAGTTCAATAAAGGATTTACTTAAATTCTTATTTGTCTTATAGATGTTTCGTCTTTCTTAATCCCATTCTTAAAACCTCATGAATCTAAATCTCCTGCTGTCTCCACCATGGAATACCAGATGGAACTGAAACTGGACCAAAGAACTAAGGACAAAAGGAAGTAGGTGCCTGCAAGGGGCATGGTGGGAGGCAGGAGACAGGTGTAAGAGATTTAAAAGACTGAAGAGTTTGCGGGGAAAGCTGTGAGGATAGGGGAATGGGGGTGGGGAAAGGAGGAGGGAGGAAGGGAAGAGGAGGAGCAAGACACTAGCTGGGGGAGGAGTTCAGATTTACCAGTAGAAAAAGACTGTGCAGAAGCCCCAGGAATCCATTAGGAAGCCCGCCCACTAAGGAGTCAGCTAGATGCCCTGAATGAGGTAGAAAAGTATTCCCAGATGTGTGTTCCCCCGCTCCAACCGCTCCCCACCACCCCCAGCAGAACCATCAAGAGAGGAGGCTGGGCAACGCAGAGGAAATAAGACATTTTCAAAGACACACGCCAGAGTTGCGGAATTGCTAGTGCTGTCAAGGTAAATTTTATTCAAGGACTTCTTTTTACATAAAAAGGGCCAGTTAGAGTTATTTGTGTTTCAAATTTATTTTATTTTTCTTTATTAAAGTATAAAAAGATACATAATTTGCCTTAAGTCTTTAGGTTCAATTTGCAAATCTCATCTATTTCTAAAACGAGTAAATGTTATATAAAACAGAACAGGTTTTGCAGGGAACTTGGATTAGCGTTTGATGAACTCAAGTTACACAAAGTAAATTCCCCTTAAAACAACCAATCTCATTTTGAAAACTTAATTAAATTCCCTTAATTTTAAACTTCATTTATAAATCAAAGTACCCTATCTCATATGCCTGAGTGGGTAAATTTATGAGCTTAAGCAAAATCTTTCCAAGTTCTGAACAAATCTTTAAAGTTTAAATAAATTAAAATGACAAATATAACAAGTCTTAAATTCTTTTAAGCATGCCAATACTGATTACAAACTTACTGGTATGCATTTTGACAAGAATGAAAAATTACAAGAATCAATTGCATGTTTAAAATTGGAATCAAGAGGCTGATTTCTCAGATTTCATTTCAAGCCTTCTTATTCTAAGTGTGGTCAGAGGGGCAGCAGCATGGGAACACCTGGAGCTCATCAGGAATGTGGACTCTCAGGTCCCACCAGGAACTACTGACTCAGAGTCTATAGCATTAGTCAAAGAGAGGGCAGGAAAGGGGTATTTCCTTCAGTTTTTGAGCTGATATAGGTGCCAGGGTGATATGGTCCGTCGATTCATCCATTTTTCCTTCTCTTTCTTCGGTTTTAGTAGCATACAACAATCCAGAAAGCAAATCATATCTTCAATCTCATATTAAAGTTTTCCAACTAGAAGAAGCAGAAATACTGTGGTTTAAAAGAACCAAGTCGTGCTGGTGAAAGATAGGTCTGGTTGATTTTAAGAACCATACTGGGCATAAAAGGAAGAGAAGTAATTTTTTGTAAATGGACCCCCTCGCTGAGTGGAAGTTACTGCCTGAATCAGCTGCACACAATATAAACTCCTGGCAGGAGTTTCTCTGTGAGTCAGATATCAAAGTCTTCTACAAAGTGGGATGGGCACTGTGGCAAGTTGGTATAGCCACGTTTCTTGAACTGAAAAGGATAAAAAGATAAGTAGAAAGGCACACTGTGAATGTCACGTAATTAAATACCTGGCCAAAATGAGCAAGAGCTACCTTACCCTGAGCCTAGCTAGGTCAGTGTGTGGTGCTCACCTGGAAAGAGGAATAAGATCAAGTAGGTGTAAAACCCTCACATAAGGGGTCTTACTGTGTGGGGTTCAGGGCTAGCCTGCTGACATAATAGTGACATTGGAAAGCAAAGTCCTGCCACGGTCCCTCCATCAATAATGGAAACATGGAGGCAAGATCTCCAAAAGCAGGGTACGCTGGAGAGGCAAGGCCCCTACTGGGGCTTGAGAAGGAAGAGAAAGGTGACAGAATCAGAACAGACCATGTCGGAGGCTTCACAATAGCTGGGAGAAGTACAGAATTTGGGCCTGGGCACAGTGTCTCGTGCCTGTAATCCTAGCAGTCTGGGAGCCAAGATGGGAGGATCACTTGAGCCCAGGAGCTTGCGATCAGCCTAGGCAACACAGAAAGACCCCATCTCTACCAAAAAAAAAAAAAAAAAAAAAAAAAGCCGGATGTGGTGGCGCATGCCTGTAGTTCCAGCTACTTGGGTGATTGAGGCGGGAGGATTGCTTGAGCCCAGGAGGTTGAGGCTGTAGCGAGCCTTGATTGCGCTGAGACCCTGTCTGGGGAAAAAAAAAAATTTAGGAGATGGAGTATGAATAAACAAAGCAACATTCCCTGGTGCCACGCAAGGCTGCCTCCGCAGAGGCATTCCTGTGCTTAGCTTGGTTCTAAGGCAGCTACACAGTGAAGGAAGCTGATACTAGGAAGCAGGGATGCTCCGTCTAGGCACTGGAAAGCCTGAAGTTTCCTAGGCCCCCTAGGGTAGAGTAAGATGAATCCAATGGTCAGAGGGGACTGCATTCTTGTAGAAAGGTGTCCAAGAACTTCCACTGGCAAGTCAACTGTAGGTGCCAATCTACTTTTTGCAAAAGCTGTTGCAGTTTAGGACAAGAGTTACAAATGCAAAAAAAAAAAAAATCATTTAGTTTTATTGGACAAAGTCCAAAAAACTAAATACACCAAAGCAAACCAAAATTCTGTTCATTTTCTGTTCGCATCGTGCTGCTAAAATGCATGCCACACCCGACTGTTTTAGGTTTGGGCCCAAGGAGAATTCCTTATAAATAAAATCCATATTCCCCTGGCATCCTTTAAGTCCTGGAGGCAGAACTGCACGTTCACCCTAGTATCATTCCAGTCCTCTCTTTTTGTAAACGACTACAACTACCAGAAGTCTAGTGGCTCAAATTTCCCCTGGAGTTTTTTGTTACGTAATTGCCAGATTAAAATAATTTTGTGTAGCAATAAATTTAAATGAAACATGTTTTCATTCAAGGTCCAGAGTGAAATTATAGACTCAGTGTCCCTACAATGTTCAGTAGCTAAGCCATGTTCTTTCCAATGTCTTTTTTTTTTCCCGTTTGTGCTGCACTGGCTAGATTTATCAGAACCTGTTTGAAACCAAGGTCATGTCTGTAATAGACAAATTAGTTTTAATTTCAACCATCGATATGCTTTTGAAAATCACTGCAAGGACAAACTAATAATTTTGAGAATACAGAAGTGTTCCTTTTGATAACAAGATATCTAGAATAACAGTGAAGATTTTTAGCCAATTAATTTTCTACACAATGCTAAATAAGTAAATAGCTTAAAACAAACATATCAGTTGACTTAAATTTTAAATATTATTGTTCCTGAATACAAAATAGTTTTCAGGTACAAAAAATAGGAAACTGCTGGCTAAAAAGGGATCACCCCTATTAATTTGTTTCAATTGGAATATCATTATAGTCTGTTGCCAATAAACGATGTCATCAGGTTTTTCTCATGAGGGTTAATTAATGGTAACAACTAGTGACTGAGATTAGAAGGGAGAAGGCGAGAACAGAGTTCTTTCTTGAGCTGGAAGATGTTTCCTCTATATATGTATGCAGGCTACAAAACTGAAAAATAACTTACCATTAGAATTACACTACAGTGGGCTATGACATATAATATATTTTTCTTTGACTTAAGAATTTTCCACCACCAAAGATGGATTTATCCTCAGGCCGCTTGTGTGCTATACCAGTGGACCTGCAACTTAAGCATTTGCTCTGCTCAGGGGAGAATTATTGCTTCCTATTAATTTATGGTTTAGAGAATGTTTCAGCGATAAAGCTGAAAAATTAATTTCAGATTGGTCCCAGAGGGGTTGCTTTTAATAGTTCTGTTAATTCATTTTGGGGAGGATCCCTATGAAAGTTTATGAAAATGGCAAAGACTCACTAGCCCATCTCTAATCTGGATTTTATTTGAAACAGACCTCATCCTTCTAATTAGAGTTGTTAGAACCTACTTTAATTTTATCAATAATAATTAACATTTCTATCGTACTTCAGTTTACAAAGTGCTTTCTCATAATCTATTAAATTTTGGAATCATTACAGTAATCTAATGAAGTAGTGTATTCGTTTCTTATTACTGCAACAACAAATTACCACAAACTTAGTGGCTTAAAACAACACAAATTGATTGTATTACATTGTCAGAAGTCGAAGTCCAAAACAGGTCTCACTGGACTAAAATCAAGGTGTTGGCAGGTGTGCCTTCCTTCCAGAGGCTCTAGGGGAGAATCTGTGTGCTTGCCTCTTCCAGCTTCTAGACGCCACCTCCATTCCTTAGCTCATGGTCCCTTCCACCTTCGAAGCCAGGCAGCAATATACAGTCAGGTGTTTCTTAAGCTGCATCACTCTGACTCTGCTTCTATTCTCATATCCCCTCCCTCCCTCCCTCCCTCCCTCCCTCCCTCCCTCTTTCACTTTTAAGAACCCAAGTGATTACAATGCCCATTCTCCCAGGCAATCCTGGATAATCTCCCCATGTCAAGATTTTTAATTTAATCACCTCTGAAAAGTCCGTTGTACCATGTGAGCTAACATAGTTACAGGTTCCAGAGACTAAGTCATAGACATCTTTGAGGCCATGATTCTGCCTAGCACAAGTAGCAATATTTTAAATGTTTTTATCATTAGTGATGGTGATGGTAAGAGTAGATTATTTAACAGATAAGGCAAACAAGATCAAAGGAGGCCTAGTTACTTAATTACAATCACTCTATTAATATCACACAACACTGTAATTTAAAATTGGTGTTCAGATGTTAATCTACTGCTTGTTCAACTCCATCATGACGTGTTAGTCCAAGAGAAAAGTTCCTATAAGGCATTTTTATTGAACTTTGAATGACAGTCCAGCAATTCTTTTAGGTCATTTCCAAAAATGTTGCTTCAGGGCTTATTGTTAATAATGTCCACCATATTTTTGATTAATTAATTAACAGTAAAGATAATTCTAGTTGTGGTAGCTCTGAAATGTACATATTTACAGATTCTCTTAAAAAATAAAAAAGTTTTACGTTCCCATAGCATAATGGAGACTTTAAATTTTGTATTTTCACATATTATAACCAGGTAAACAGCAAGAAGGTCAAATGAAATAATCCATAGCCTACACCTAAAACAGGAAAAGACCTACTGAATGGTAAGAGAGGAATTTGGCATTCATTCCCAAGTTTAGCGTTTTTAAATAAAATCTTTTATTAGCACCATGAGAAAAGGAAAAGCAGAGTTGACATTTTAAAGTACAACTGATGTCAATATATTTGCTATGTGTGTTATTTGGAGGAGCTGCCAAGAATATGGTTTGTTTAGGGTTCAGATCAGCTTTGGGATTTGATAAATACTAGTGTCAAACATAAACGTGCAGGTATTTGTCTTGAATTAAACCTAAACAATTAATGAGTTATGTGAGCACATAAATTTACCAAAGCAGGCCAGAGAAACCCATGCCTCACCTTTAATCTTTTTTAAATCTTTGGGATGATAGAGGAGACTTCAGGTCAGGATTTCACAGAAAGAAGTATTAGAGGCAGACACTGATTCCTCAGTGAAGATGCCAGAATTTGTTCTTCAGCAGAATATGGCAAATTTATCAACATAACAATTCAGATCAGAGAAGGAGACAGGAACCAAATTTCCCGAAACAGCAAGTACTCTTTTGTGTTCTGAGATACATCAGTTGAATAGAAGCTGTCGATGCTTAAAAATTTAGCATAAACATTCATTATGTTTTATTGCAGACAGTTCTTGTTCCGCACTTAAATGTTTGGCAGTCCAAGAGAAAAGTAACCAGGATGATAAAAATCCACAATCCATGTTATTCATGGAATTGTTGAAACAACAATGTATTTTTAGATTGGGAAAGATAAAATCTAGAAGATGATTTCTACTACTTGAAGGAAGGTTCTTTGAATCATTTTCCATACATTTAGCTCCATAAGATAAAACTAGAACCAACTGGAAAAAATTTTAGGGGTAGAAGATTAAAGGCCCATTAAATATTTGTTCTAGTAATTTGAGCTACCCTAAATTAGAATAAACTACTTCATAAGGTCGTAAGTTGCCATTCCTGCGATATCCACACAGAGGAGGCATCAGGATGATCATGGGCTTTCTGTATTACACGAAAAAGAAAAATAGAGAAAGAAAATATAGCAGATAAGAGCAGGGACCTGTGACTTTGGGCAAGTTGCTTAGTTATTCTGTCCTTTAATATTTTTATCTGTAAATGGAAAGAGACCTAGTTCCAACTTGAGACTGTTGATAGGTTTAAATAAGGTCAGAAAAAGGTTTACTACTATGCTTGGCTCATAATAAGTGCTTAATAAATAGAAGGCATACATACAACTAACAACAGGCTAATAAAAAAAATCTAGTAACGAACATCACAACTCAACTGCTCTACAATAAAGGAAGCTTTGTGACACGCCTTTTCTCATTTTAATTAGGATTCTAGTTTTCCATTTAGACTGTTTGGCAGGGAATATGGGCATATGGGCATCTCAGTGCATTAGTAAGTCATTCCACCAAACTGATCTTGCTTTTTGGATATAATTGGCCTCAGTATCTTTGGTGGACTGTATTATTGTCCTCTATTATTTACTCCCCTCTTCACTATAAAAGAACAAGATGACCCCACTGATGCCATGTGACTTAGAGTGCCTTCACAGAAATGAAGTATGCTTCCCCATCCCATTGTAAGCCTTGGCTATGTGACTCACTTTGTCCAGTAGCATACGCTCAGATATAACATGAGCCACATACAAGCAGAAGTCTGAAGACACATTAGTTTTTTTTCTGGAAGTCCTGTTGCTCTTTCCCTCTACCATGAGAAATGTAGAAAAATATATATATTATGGAGGTGAAAGGTAGACAGAAAATACACTCATTGGTTGCTTAACCATGGGGATATATTCTGAGAAATGCTTCATTCAGCAATTCTGTTGTTGTGGGAACATCATAGAGTATACTTACTTAAACCTAGATGGTACAACCTACCACACCTAGTCTGTATGGTATAGGCTATCACTCCTAGGCTACAAACCTGTACAGCGTGTTACTGTACTGAATACCATAGGCAATTGTAGCACAATGGTAAACACCTATGTATCTAAACATGTAAATGTAGATATGTTTAAAGTACAATAAAAATATGATGTAAAAGGTTAAAATGGTACACCTGTGTAGGGCACTTACCATGAATGGAGCTTGCAGGACAGGAATTTGCTCTGGGTGAGTCAGTGAGTGAGTGGTGAGTGAACGTGAAGGCCTAGGACATGACTGCACGCTACTGTAGACTTTAGAAACACTGGACACTTAGGCTACACTAAATTTATTTTTAAAATGTTTTTCTTCAACCATAAATTAACCTTACTGTACTTTACTGAAATCTTTTTACTTTATAAACTTGTTTATTTTTAAAGTTTGACCTTTTTGTAATAACACAGCTGAAAACACAAACACATGTACAGCTGTACAAAAATGGTTTCTTTATATCCTTATTCCATAAGCTATTTCCTATTTTTATTTTACTTTTTAAACTTTTTGGTAAAAACTAAGACACAGCACACATATGCATTAGCCTAGGCTTACACAGGGTCAGGATCATCAATATTACTGTCTTCTACCTCCACATCTTGTCCCAGTAGAAGGTCTTCAGGGGTGATAACCTGCATAGAGCTGTCATCTGTGATTACATTGCCTTCCTCTGGAATACCTCCTGAAGGACCTGCCTGAGGTTGTTTTGCAGTTGACACATAGATGCAGAAGGAGTACACTCTAAAATAATGATTAAAAGTATAGTATAGTAAATACATAAACCAGAAATATAGTTGTGTATTTTGATCAAGTACTATATATTACATAATTGTTTGTGCTCTATTCATATGACTGGCAGTGTGGCAAGTTTGTTTACACCGGCATCACCACAGACACACAATACCTTGGGCCTTGACATTACTATGGCTATGATATGACTGGGTGATAGAAATTTTTCAGCTTTATTATAATCTCACGGGACAGACCATTGTCATATATGCAGTCCCATGTTGAGGAAACGTAGTTAGGTAGTGCATGACCATATATTATACCAGCTGTTTCTTCTAGCTGCATCTCAGAAGGTGAAGCCTTGTGGCCCTCACTTGCTATGGGTTCAGACCCAGATTTTCACCAGGAGCCAGAGGAACAGGAGCTGCAGGAGGTAGAGAGGTACCAGCCCCTCCCCAGGCCCCCAGCCTGAAGCAGGGCCTTGCACCCCCATGACACTAGGCCTCTGGGGCTGCATCCACAGTGGTGCTTGTTTCTTATACATTGTCAGGGTGCAGCGGCAGGTGTTCAGCTCCCTTGGGACAAGTCCCTTCGCTAGTGACAGATTTCATCACTGGTTGAGAGAGTTTGACGTGCTTAAGTGCATTTATTGTTCTAGGTATTAGATTTTAGGGCTGTGGACAGAGCAGTTCTATGCTGGCAGATATGACCCGGTTGCCCTTACAAAGAGGAGAGGGCTGAGCACTCGTGATTTAGCCTGAGGCTCTCCAGACTCCCATCTTGCTTGCACATGTGGCCTCTGCCATTGGTTCTCTTCCTCGGTGCCCTGAAATGACAGAAAAATGCAATCTGATATCAACAAATTTGGAGGTAAATGGAGGCGCCAGGTGCCCTGTCCATAAAGCAGATCTGGTATTTACATAAGGAATTTGTAGCATCCTGGTCAGTTCCCAGGTTGGCTGAAGGCTTTGATGCAGCACCAATGTGATCCAAAGGGTTTTCAAAAGCAGGGTTGTACCAACATTGGAGCAGAAACTGAAGCTGGATCAAAAAGTCCTTATGAGGTTGGACACAGTGGCTCCTGCCTATAATCCCAGCACTTTGGGAAGTGGAGGGGGAGGATTGCATCAGACCAGGAGTTCCAGACCAGCAATGTAGTGGGACCATGAGCACTATAGCAGGACCTTGATGGTTTTAGAAATTAGCTGGACTTGGTTGTGCACTCCTTTAGTGCTAGCTACTCAGGAGGCTGAGGCAGGAGGATTGCATGAGCCCAGGAGGTTGAGGCTGCAGTGAACTATGATCATGCCCCTACACTCCCATCTGGGCCAGGTAGTAAGATCCTGATTTGGAAAAAAAAAAAAAAAAAAGTCCTTAAGACAGCTGGGTTGCCCTCTCACTCAGGCAGCTCCAGGGCTCTGGAGACATCTTGAAACTATTCTCTGCAGGGCACTCTGTATCAGGCTCTTTGCTGAAGCGAGAGGATGATGCCTCATCGAAAGGCCAGAGTCAGAGCATGGCTTTAAACTGAGAGTGTCGAAAACTCACAGTACATACACTGCGAGGTTACAGAAGGGAAGGAAAAATGGAATCCAGGGCCTGGAGGAGAGCTTTATGCCTGTCGCTGCAGCCTTAGGCATAAAGGGCTGAAGTACTCCAGCAGTGATTGGGAAGCCCAGAACGACTGTCAGCAATGGATTGCCAAATGATGAGGAGCTGGAGGAGTTGAAGTTAAGGGAACCAGGTGACCAAACTTCAGCAACAAAGTAGAGCACATTGGCCTGTGAGTTCTGGGACAGCATCGGGAGCTTCCTATACAGAATTTGAGCTGGGGCTTAGCTTATGGGAAATGTCTCATTCAATACAGCTGGACAAGAATATGTGGAGCTGTCTAAATATCTGTGTATGGATTAGCCACATTGAAATAGGAGGAAGTGATGAGCCTGGAATGTGGGAGGAAAGATGTGCTTAGATAGATTCAAACCTCTTGGAGCACTGTTCCCAGGCTGACCCCTGTAGATCTTTACCCCTTTTTGCTTGGTCTTTCTGTATGCTGCAAACCAGCCCATATCAGTTTCTATGATACCTGCAATATATGTTGGGGAGGGAATTGGGAAACTAAATTGAGACGACCTGGGGAGCAGAGCTGCAGCTACCAATCTGCTAGCTTCCCAAATGTAATGAGAACAAAAAATAAATTTTGTTATTGTAAATTAATGGGATTTTATGATTGCTGCTACTGAAGCAAATCTAAGAAAACACAGAAATCTGAACCAGCACACAGAAGTTGGTACCAGAAGTAGGGTGATGACTTCAAAAAGACATAAAATATGAGCTACTGGCCTCAGAGCCAGGTGGTAGGTAATGGGGAAAATATTATTGGAAGATGAGAAGAATGATGATCTATATTACGCAGTGATGTCATATTTGGGTTAAATGTCATCTGTGATATCATGGAAGTGAGCAAATATACCTGTTGAACTTGTGGTTTTAGACAAAGAGATTGCAATGTAAGAATTTTGCTGGGGTGCCTGGGTTGTTATTTTTAGCTGTCTTTGATTAGGTATTACAAGAGTAAGAGAAGCTCAATAGAATTTTGATGAAAGTATGGAGATGATCCTGGGATGAAAGTATATAGAGGGAATCTAGAAACTTCAGTTCTAGCAGAACTGGAAGATGCAGTTAATTTTTTTATCTATAACCAGTGAGAGAAAAAATTAACTGCTTGGGCAACAAAACTTATACTATATCTCAAGAAAACAACGAAATCTTTTGTATGATCATCACCTCCTTAGTTAAACACTGTGAATGGTTCAAAATTGCCCATAGAAAATCTTTTATTGGGGGAAAAATGCTTAGGATAAAGAGAATGTACACATGGCTCATCCAGGAGGCCAGTAAACTCAAGATAAATCTAGAGAGAGAGGAGTATCTCAAAAAGAATTGTGGGTATAGCTTTTGGCACATAGAACTGTTTGGACACAAAAGTTTGACAGATCGTACAGTCATCTCTCAGTATCCATAAGGGATTGTTCTAGCACTCCTTCCAGATACCAAAATCTGAGCTGCTCAATTATTTACATAAAATGTCATAGTATTTGCATACAACCTATGCACATCCTCCTCCCATATGCTTCAAATCATGTCTAGATTGCTTATAATGTCTATTAACAATATAGTATAAATGCTGTTTTGATGGTTGTTCTACTGTATTGTTTTGGCAATAATTACAAAAAAAGTCTACATGTTCAGTATAGACACTTAAAAAATATTTTTGATCAGTGGTTGGTTGAATCTACAGATGTACAGTGCACAGATCCAGAGGACTGACTGTACTGGCAAAAGTTTCACCAACCAAGAGTAAGAGACATTATGACAAATTAAGAGTTAAAAGAATTTGGGGGGCCCAGAATTTCTACTATGAGTTACTATATTAATAAATCTGCTTAGTACCTAAAAAGGACATATTCTCCAATGTTCCCTTCAGATATTCAAGAACAACAGTGGAACAGGAAGAACACCCCAGAAAATAAAACCAAGAGCTGTAGAAACCAGTGAACTGAGCTCTCAGACAGCAGAACTGGGGTTTATCAGGGAATTTCTTTTTTGTTACTGCAACAAAGCTAACTCAGTCTATTTACTGAGAAACCAGAATACAGCTATAAGATGAAATAGTTATATACATCTGTTAATTAGTTTTAACAACATATTAAGAATCCCTGATTTAAACAGATTTTACTTTAGCCATATGTAAGATTGACTAGAGTAAAAATATGTAAGAACTGGATATTTGCAACATTGTCAGATATTTAAATATATTGAATGATTAATTTTTTTCAGACAGCATCAAAACTTTTAAAAATAAAATCAGTCTAAAATTAGTTTTCATTGGCCTTAATAAACAGAGGGAAATTTTTTCCTTGTAAACAGCATGTCCAGTTTTTATTGTTTTATTCTAATCTCTCAATCTTTGTCTTATCATTGGAGAATTTAATCCATTCATATTTCATTACTAATACATTTGGTTAAATCTACCTTTTTGCCATTTGTTTTTATTTATTATCTGTTCCATTATTTACCTTTCTGGCCTTATTTTGGATTAATCAATTTTGTTTTTATCATTCATATGTTTACGCTCTCCTTTCCTTTCTGCATCTCTGTGCTTCCTCCAGATCAATATTCTACTATATGAAGAATATAGAATTTGTGATGGTGAAAAGTTCTCACCTTTTGTCTGAATGTGTTTTCATTTTGCTTTCACATTTGAAGTATATTTTCCCTGGATATTGAGTTATGGGTTGGCACATAATCTCTTTCCATAATTCAAAGATTTTATACTACAACGATCAGACTCACTTCATTTCTGTGGAAAAGGGATTCATCAGTATCACTGTTGCTTCCTTTAATGTAACTTTTTACTCCAGTATTTTTAAAATTTCCTCTTTGACTTTTAAAAAGAATCAATTTGACTATGAAGTGCCTAGATGTAGTTTCTCCTAGGTGCCGATACTCTTGCTTGGAATTCATGGAGTATCTTGAACACTTTTGATAAGTTTGAAAATTCTTGGTCAGTATCTATTTACATATTATTTTTGTTTCATATGACTCTTTAGATATTTTCCATATCTCCTCTCAGTGCTTCAATATGGTCATTTTATATTGACTTGTCTTCCTGTTTATTAATCCTGTTTTCCTTTGCATAATTAATAGAAACAATCTACTAAATTGTTAATTTCAGATAATGTATGTTTCAGTTCCAAAATTCAATTTGATTCCTTCTTACAGATTTCATGTCTCTGCTGAAAAGATCCATTTTTCATGTTATTTTCTCGAATATACTATTCAAAATTATTTTGAAGACTCTGATGACTTCAGTATCTGAATCACATTACAGGCAGTTTCTCTTTTTTTTTTTTTTTTTGAGATGGAGTCTTGCTCTGTCACCCAGGCTAGAGTGCAGTGGCGTGATCTTGGCTCACTGCAACCTCCACCTCTGGGTTCAAGCCATTCTCCTGCCTCAGCCTCCCGAGTAGCTGGGATTACAGGCACACACTACTACGCTGGCTAATTTTTATATTCTTAGTAGAGATGGGACTTCACCATGTTGGCCAGGCTGGTCTCAAACTCCTTAGCTCAAATGATCTGCCTGCCTCGGCCTCCCAAAGTGCTGGGATTACAGTTGTGAACCACCACGCCTGGCCTGGGTTGTACTATATAGTATGCCTCAATTTAAAAAGTTTTGGTAATAGACCTATGAATAAAAAATTTTGAGGCTCTGGATAATGACCCCTTCATCTGAAAAGAGAAAATTTTTCTGTGGCAGACAGAATATAGGCACATCACCCTGATCCTGTGATAGGTTTGTTCTACGTTTATAGATAGGTTTTTCCCTTACCCTTTGGTATAGACCTTTCTCCTAAGATGTGGCATTTCCCAATTCTCAGACAGAAGTCTGAGGTAGTTACCAGGGTCCGTCCGCTTTAGCTGACTCGAAACTCCAATATTTATCCCCCTAACAGTCACAACTGCTCAAATCTTTGCTGCTTTCAGCATGATTTTTTTTATTTTGTACATGTGCAACATAGATATAGCAACATTTGACCTCATTTTATTACAGTTTTTTCCTCTCTAGATATTGGCCTTCATGTCCTAGCAACTTTGACAGCCCCAAGTTACAACCTCTGTCTTCTTAAGTCAATGATACTATTGTCTTCTGCTCAGATACTATTCCCCCAACGCCATGATCTGAAAAATGCCCTTGAGGAAAATGTCAGTGTGACTGTGAAGCTCATCTTAATGTGCTACCCTTCCATTGGTAATTGTGGCACCTTACATCCTTCCTGCATTAGTTATACTCCAATGGCTTTGACCTTCTTTTTTTAAAATTTATCTAGCTTTTCACTGTGCTTGGCAAAAGTGTTAATGTGATACAAGGTACTCATTTTTGGCTGAAACAAGAAATCCTCTCTGAATACTTTTAAGATTTTCTTTTTGTCCTTTGTTTTGCGTATTGTATTACGGTGTGCCTTATTTTGGTTTTCTGTTTTTTCTACATTGGGTTGGTAAGGCTTTTTAAATTTGTGTTTAGATGTGTTTCATCAGTTTTTGCTAATTCTTAAACATCTTTTCTAACATTGTTTTGGTGCCATTTCCTTTCTCCGCTTCTAAGATTTTACTTACATATATATTAGACCAATTCACTGTTTTTCATATATTTCTTCTTTTACAAATTTGTATCATTTTCCAGTCTTAGTATTTTTTTTTTTTTACTTTCAGAGAAAAGGAACAGAAACAGACCTATAATCCCAGTTGTCTGTTAAGCTATGTCTAATTGGCTATTAAACCCCTATATTCTGATCTTGATTTCAGTTTTTTAATATTTTTCAGTTGTTTGCTATTATCCTTCATTTTAGCACATAATTTCTTAAACATGTTAATCAGTCCACATCTGATAACTGCAATATCTGGATGACTTGTGGGATTACTTTTATTATTTTTTATTATTTCTCCTTATTTGTGTTCAATCTATTTAGTCCTCTGGTGTGCCTAATTATTTTTTATTACATGCAAGGCATTGTAATAAAAACAAACTGGAGAGATAATTTGAGGCTCCAGATGATATTTTCTGAGATTTGGGTTTAATTTTGCTTCAGATATTCAATTAAGTTAAAGCAAATCACTTTCGTTTGATGGGGTATTTTGCTGTTTGAATCTGGGTTGGAGTTGTTATAGATGCTCTTCTATTTTCTTTTCACTTCTCTTTCTATTGTGCAACTTTTTTGAGGCTCCAGACAAAAACCTGGGGTCTTTCCAGGTCCCTTTATATTGGAAGTCCCAGAAATTTAATTTTAATCTCCTCAGCCCTGTAAGTCTGCTAGAGTTCTGCACAGCTTGTCAGCCTCTCAGCTGCTATTTGCAAATGACCATGACCATGTCGAAACAAAAGGGGAGTTATGATGTGTTACTGATTGTGTTATAGATTTCTAAAGTAGGCAGAGTATAAAATTTTAGCTGAGATTAGGATAACATTTGTTACTATTTACCTAAAATAATTTCAGTTTACATCTGTGGTTCTGGAGTAATAATTAACAAGTGCTTACTTTTACTCTCAAAAGTATCCCAGTTTAAAATATAAATTCACCCTGGCCATAAATACCACTTAAGCTGTACAGAAAAATGGATGAGGACATACAGGAGTGAAGACATTTCAGGAAGAAAAAAGACCTGTCAAAGACACATAGGAATGAAGCCATATGCTATGCTCATATCCTGCAAGAAGTACAGCAGTAATGGAGATTAATATAAGAGCAATGAGTAGAATTAGGTCTGAAGACATAGCAAGGGATTGGAATGTGATATGATTTGGCTGTGTCCCCACCCCAATCTCATCTTGAATTGTAATCTGAATTGTAATCCCCACATGTCAGGGGAGGGACCGGGTGAGAGGTGATTGGATCATGGAGGCTGTTTCCCCCATGCTTTTCTTGTGATAGTGAGTGAGTTCTCATGAGATCTGATGGTTTTATAAGTGGTGGTTCCCCCACACATCCCCTCTCTCTCACCTGCTGCCATGTAAGACGTGCCTGCTGCCCCTTCCACCATGATTGTAAGTTTCCTGAGGTCTCCCCAGCCAAGCAAAACTGTGAGTCAATTAAACCTCTTTTCTTTATACATTACTCAGTCTCAGGCAGTTCTTCATAGCAGTGTGAAAACGGACTAATACAGAGCATGAGAGACATTGAAGTAGGTTGTATTTCTGGAGGTAACCGGAAGTTATTGACAGGCAAAGGTATCACCAAAGTAGATTTTGGAGGTAATTATAATAACTCATATGAGAGATGATGTTGAAATGAACAAAAGCATGGGGGATAAAAAATGAGATGAGAGAACAGATAAAAGGATCATATAGGAAGTAAAATCAAATCACATCTAGTGACTGACTGAGGTATAGAGAAAAGATAACTTGGATGACATATACAGAGACAAGGATGACTCTACCCAGTCTGGCTTGAGAGATTATATGAATGAGAAGAGCCTAAGGGAAATTAGTTGGGGAGGCATTACAAAACAAAAAGAAAACAATCCTGTCCTTATTTCTGCAACAGGAGCAAACTGGCATGAATGTTTCAGAGCATCTATTATTATGGAGAAGTGAATACCCTCAACTTAGGGACATAGTTCTTTTTCTGGAAGGACACTGTACTCACTTGGGCTGCCATCATAAAATACCACAGACTGGGTGTCTTACACAACAATTTATATTTCAAAGTTCTGGAAGTAGGCAAGTCCAAGATCAATGTATAGCTGTCCGCTAGGTTCCGTAGGGCTCTCTGCCTTCTTGCTGTGTCCTCCCACAGTGGTGGTGGGAGGGGGATGATCTCTTTTCTTCTCCTTATAAGGTCACAGTCCTATTGGATTAGGGCCTCACCCTTAAGAACTCATTTGAGTTTAATTATCTCCTGAAGACCCTATCTCCAGATACAATCACATTGGGGGTTAGGGCTTCAATGTATGAATTTGGGGGTTGAGGGAGGATACGGTTCAGTCCACAGCAGACACACTGCAATCTTTTATTTTGTGATCCTTTCCAAGTTGTTTCATGTTTGTGTTTGGTTAAGCCAGTAAGGAGCGCTGATAATCCAGAAGATCCAGAAGAGAGAAATCGAACAAACCCTTTTTATTGCCTTCTGAAAAGGCAGCTGAAAAACACAGATGTTCATGCTTTAGAGGCTAAGAAGGTGAAAAAAAAAAAACACAGCAAGAAAGAAAATTAAAAACCTAAGTCAATATAATCATACTAACAGCAGGGAATGGCATCATCTTCCGATGCCTGCTGTTACTGATGGAACACTTGCCTGTCAGAGGCGATATCTGAGCAATTGTCCTAGGCATTGGCCTATGAGTGGGCATTAGAACTGGCTGTGGCAACGTACCTGCCTAATGACAGACCCACTGTGCAGAAAGTCCCCTGGATGCCTCACTGTTTCTCTTATTCATTTCATTCTACCCTATGAGATATTCATTTTTAAAACACTTTTATCAAAGTATATTTTAAATATAAAATCTGCATGTTTTAATTATACAATTCAATACATTTTAGTTTATTTACAGAACTGTACAATCATCAATCAAATTATAGAACATTTCAATCACACTAAATAGAAACCTTGTGCCATGTACAACCACTCCTCACTCCCTCTCCCAGCCCAAGTTAACCACTCATCTACTTTATGTGTCTAAAGATACTCACTTTCAAGATGACATTGAAAATGCACAGCTTTCTCACATTTCATTTTCTTCCCTATGTATTTAGCCTTAAAAAACCGAAATAAATGAATGATGGATTTGATTCCAGCCCCAGGGCCTTGAACACGGGAGTCTGTTTTTTTACCAATAGAGATCCTTCATGTGGATGGTGACAAACCAATGGGTTGAGCCATTGCTTTCCATTTTTATTCTAAGACTCAGATGTAATGCTGCTGCCCAAACTGAGGAGGTGGGCACCCTACAGGGCCCTGAATTGCAAAGCCAATCTGGCAGTTCTGTTTATAAAGACAAATGAGATACCAGTTTGTTAGACCCCTGTTTCAGTTCACCAAAATAAAAATCAGTGCACAGGAAGGAAAAGAGGGAAACCTGCCTAGGGGCTCTGCCTCCGCACATGCATAACCTTTGCTCTTCCCTCCATTGTGTAAAATATGCCACATCTTCTAGTTTCACAACCATGAAACCATGTGTGTCTATAAGTTCTTGACATTTCAGCTCATCTGGTTGACCATATTTCAGTACCTGGTTAACAGAGATTTTGGAAGGTGTTGGATCTTCTAAGCATTATCTAGTTTTTGATATTGTTATCACCAAATAAATACTTACTGAACACTATGCATTAGGTATCAGGAGATGAGAGAAGTAGCAGGCACAGGTCTCCACCATCCAAAGTCTAACAAACTAAGAAAAGATGATTTCATCAGCAAAGTTCGATAAGGGCACTTGAAAAGGGAGTAGAGTGAGAAAGTATACCAGTCTTGAGAGAGGAGCATTCATATTTCAAAAAAGAATACTCAATGTTAAAATTGCCATGATTGGTTTTTAATAATATTTAGTACATTTTGAAATTCTAAGAAATATTGAAAATGATGAGATTTTCATATTTATCAAACATGGACACAAGTTTTTCAAATTTATCACTAAATTTGTACTCATTAAGTAAACAACAGCACAAAATTCATCTTTTGAAAGAGTTACAAGCAGTAATGCTATGAGAGCCCAGAAGAGAGATTACTTCAAATAACCCAAGAGGGCTTCATGGAGGATGTGATGTCTGAGATGGACAATTGAAGTTTGAGTCACATAGGCAGATAGAGAGCAGATGTGGAAGCATAGAGCCTGTTTAAGTAGCAGAAGGTGTACAGAATAGCTTAAATAAGATCATTCATATAGATAAATCTGCTCAACCCTTTACCAGGCAGAATGACAAATGGCTGGGTAAGGTGATAGAGGACCCAGGTAAAGTTCACAGCAACTCTGAAACAGCACCAAAAATGAAAAATGGTGAAGGCTTGGGATTCTGCTGAAAGGAAATGGAATGTGGAAGATCGAGGGGGAAAGAAGAGACAGGTTTTAATACCACCAAGATTCCCAGAGTCCATGAATAAGAGAAATGAATACCATTAGCAGAAATAAGGACATAGGATGAAGAGCCGGTTTGGAAGATAATGTGATTGAAGACATTGTAGTGCCAAAGTTGGCACAAGAGGCACACTGACCGCAAACCACAGGGCCCTCGATTCCTTCTGCAGTGTTATTAAGAGAGGCTGTCCTGATATTGTGACAGGCCAGCCTCTCCCACACTCCACGAGCCTGGGTGTGAATCCAGTTTCTCCACAAGCCTGCACATCAAGGTTTGTCAGGATCACTCCCAGCCTCCATTCTCTTTCCCCAGAATAGGAGCTGCTGATGTGAAAGTCGATAGAAACTAGTTCAGATTCACAAACCTCAAGTCCACTTAAATGCTTCTTCTGTTGTATATATTCCTTAATGGACTATACATCCTTGTCACAAAATTATAATTAAGACAAAAAGCAGTTTTCTAGTGGAAAGAACACAAGATTTAGTTTAACCAGAATGGGCTTGGAATACCAGTCCCTCCACTAACTAGCTTTCGTCTGTTTGACCTTAACTCTTCTCACCTGAAAAATAGAACTAATAACTTTCATGTTGTGAGGATTATACTTTTTAAAAACATACTTAAAATATCCGGACTGGTTCCAAAGTATAGCATTTATCCCCCCACCCCCTCTTTCTAGATTAAAGCTTGAGTCTGATACTGAAAGATGAAAACATCAGTCTAATAGTGGGTGAAGAAATTTAGTGGCAAAAGCCACTGGGATAGAATGTGGAAACATGGGATAGAAGGTTCCTAAATGTTTATGGAGTCAACTGTATTTATTACTGATTTGGGCACTTGGTTATATGCTATTTTATTTTCCATGTGTATGTTTCATCATGCCCAAAAAGATTAAAAACTCTTCAAGGGCAGATACCACGAATCATTTGGGTTCTTTGGCTCTCAACACACTGCATGTGTAACATCATAGTCTAAAACGTGTTGTATTCATTTGCCAGGGCTACCGTAACAAAGTACCACAGGCTGGGTGGCTTGAGCCGCTGGTCCCTAACCTTTTCGGCACCAGGGACCAGTTTTGTGGAAGACAATTTTTCCACAGACCACGGGGGTGGTGGAGGGGATGGTTTGGGGATAAAACTGTTCAATCTCAGATTATCAGGCATTAGATTCTCGTAAGGAGCGCACAACCTAGATCCCTTGCGTGCTCAGTTTACAATAGGGTTTGTGCTCCTATGAGAATCTAATGCCACTGCTGATCTGACGGGAGGTGGAGCTCAGGCAGTAATGCTCACTCGCCCACCACTCACCTCCTGCTGTGGAGCCCAGTCCTTAACATGCCACCGACTGGTACAGGTCCACAGCCCGGGGGTTGAGGACTCCTGGCTTAAACAACAGAAATTTATTTTCCCACAGTTCTGATGGCTAGAAGTCCAAATTCAAGGTGTGGCAGGTGTGTTTCTTCTGAGGCCTCTCTCCTTAGCTTGTAGATGGCCATCTTCTCCCTGTCTTCTGTGTATTTCTGTATCCAAATTTCGTCGTCTTATAAGGATATCAGTCAGTTGGATTAGGATCAACCCAAATGACCTCATTCTAACTTAGTTATCTCTTGAAGACCCTAGATCCAAATACAGTCACATTCTGAGGCCCTGGGGGTGAGGACTTCAACATATGAATTTTGGGAGACACAATTCAGCCCACTGCATGTGTTTACCATAGAATAGCTTTTTCTGGTTTGCAAACAGCTGATATATACACCATATCATTTATCATTCAAAACAACCTGGAAATGCAATTTCCAGGAAATAATCATCATTTCCATTTAACAGGTGAGAAAACTGAAGCTCATGGACTAGATCGTTAAACGAGGACTCAAACTCAGGACTTTTGAGTCTAAATATAGTAATCATTTCACCTTATCACATCACCTGTCTGAAATGAGAGGCTGACAGTAATTAGAAACCTAAAAGAACATACCTATGACTTGTTAACAATGTATTCTGTACTACAGAGTGAACAGAAGTCAGGCTACCTTTACCTCTCTTAAAGCAAATGGCAACATAGCAGACATGTCATCAAATGGCTTTGCTTTTGACTAGAATTTGTGCATTCAGTATGAAACCTAATTATTTTATGCTGATCAGAAGCCTTGATTGGCAGAATTATACTCTTTGATATGAAAATAACATCCCATTAGTGAATTTGGTTTACTAAACCAAAAATTTTAATAAAATGCATGGGAGAAGGAAAATAACGAAAGGGTCCTTGATGGTGAAACTCCAGCAGGCAGGAAACCAGTGGCTCCAAGATCCTTTTCATCTCTAAGCCTCAGTGGCTCTTACATCTTTCCACCACTTTGGCACACAGCTCAATGCCAGACACATAGGAGCTATTCAGTATGTTTTGGATTTAATTGAAGCTGATTAAGCTTCAGCACTCAGACACTACACATTATGGAGCACTCCTTAAAATACCATCAAAACTACCTATCTCCAGCCTCTTAACTCTAGAGGTCTCACAGCACTTTGCTCACAAATCCTTAAAACAGGAATGTGAAGTAAGAAGATGAAATGTAATATACTGTCCTCTTAATGGGTACTCATTACCAAATAAGGATATATTTTCACCCTCACTTGCTCTCACTTTCTCTTTGTCTGTCAAAACTTTAAACCTAAAGAACAATTCAATTTTATGGAGAGAGGTCAAGTGTTCTTATTTTCCCCAGTCCCACATTTTAAAGCTATCACTTCAAATGCCTGAGTAATTTCTATTAAACCGATCTCTTTAAATAAAAAGCACCATATAATAAAATATGACTCCTCTGGGACTAGAGATTCAGTTAAGGATTTTCTGTAAATTGATGTGGGTGCTTTCTAACACGTACCTAAAGCAACAAAACCATAGTGGTTGCTGGGTAGAGTTTTGTATCAGAAGTATAGACTGAATTAGACAGTTCTGGCTGACTGTTTCAGGAGTAAGATGAAATCGAAGTGGTGGAAAGATTCCTAAAATCAAGAGTGAGTTCCTTGAAGGCTGGATCAGGTCACAGTTGTATATGAGCTTAGAATATGTGATGAATAAACACGCAAGCCTGGCTGAGGTCACAAAACAAAAAAACAAAAAAACAAAAAAACAGCTGGCACGTTCGGGTTTAAGAAAAATGCTAAGTCAGGAATGTTTATTTGCCAAAGAGCACCCAACTCTTCCCTGCATTTGGGTTCTAGTGACCTTAAGTTATCCCCCCAGTAACCCGAATTCCCTAGTGACCTTAAGTTATCCCCCCAGTAACCCGAATTCCCTAGTGACTTTAAGTTATCCCCCAGTAACCTGAATTCTCTAGATTTTCAGCATTCAGATCTTTATCTTTTCTTAGACCCCAGACTTGCCAAATGTATGCATCTCATTCAAACTAACACAACTAGGTCTTGAAAATCAACCCACTTCTTTGTTATAAATTTTTAAAATGAGATATAAAGAAGGCAGTTGGCCGGGCATGGTGGCTCACGTCTGTAATCCTAGCTTTGGGAGGCTGAGGTGGGCAGATCACGAGGTCAGGAGATCGAGACCATCCTGGCCAACATAGTGAAACCCCGTCTCTACTAAAAATACAAAAATTAGCCAGGCATGGCGGCAGACACCTGTAGTCCCAGCTATTCAGGAAGCTGAGGCAGGGGAACTGCTTGAACCTGGGAGGCGGAGGTTGCAGTGAGCAGATACTGTGCCACTGTACCCCATCCTGGCGACAGAGCAAGACTCTGTCTCAAAAAAAAAAAAAAAAGGCAATTACTAAATACGGAAATAAAGACTTCATTAGTGACAGGGTCAGAACTTCAAGGGGACTTCTACCTCTTAGTTAACATCCATTTCCCTCTGCCTTTCACTGTGGCCCACCAATCAGCTCATACTAAACTCATGCAACAAAGGCTACATAGTTACAATTTATTATGGACCTTAAAAATGAGTACTTTCGCCAAAGAATTGAGTCTAATTTCAACAGATAACTGTAATAGTCTAGGAAGACAACAAATAAGATTTTCAATCCCTCTCCAGTCACGATGTTGGCTCATAATTCTACCTATGTGTTGCTTCCCTGCTGCCATCAGGAAAGCCAAGGGGCTGGTAGCATGAATAAGGTGGTGTTTCAGTGACCTGTAACTCCTAACCCCACCATTGTCATTTAAACCATACTTTTATTTATGGCAGGATAATATTGTGAAATATTAGCTTGTACTCCTTGATCCTTGCCCCATTTATTCAGCTAAAGCATTTTTTATTCATTGCTTTAGAGAAGGCATACCCCAGCAGAAGGCTAAAAGAAAAAGATAAATGGAGTCAATTCTTGTTTTAAAAAGCGTAGTTCTCAAGAAGGAATGGAAAAAAGTAATAGGCAATAGTCTTGAGAGTATACTCAGTAAGGAAAGCCAGGCCATTTTACTCCCAAACGAGACAGTTTCACTACACAGAGGAGCAGAGGGTGGAGGGGAAACAGACTTCTGAGAAATAGCTGGGTTGATTTGGGCATTTGGGATATCTAAAATGAAAGAGGAATGTATTTTTCTACATTTAAACCTAATCTTGCTTTTGAGCCTCTGATCCCTGGATCATAACTTCCGTTTAGGGATTGTTCCCTTTTCCCTTTTGCATCTGTAGAGGAAAATAAATTATCTTCCCCTCACTCATCACTAGGTTCATGTCTGAGGGTTATAAAACAAAGGACAGAATCAACAAGAGAAAAGCAGAGAAACTTATTTAAGTTTTACATGGTACAGGAGACTTTATAAGGAAATGAAGACCCAAAGAAACCGTGAAACCTGTATTTTTTATGCTAGGCTTGATGAAGAAATGGATAGTTGTGGAGAAACAGCATTGAATAAAGGGGCATGATCTAATGAAAACAAACTGGGGGGAACTTAGCAAGACCTGTTTGTTCAGATTCTTCTCTGTGTCCCTGTGTCTTCAGACATAAGGATGTGCCTTTTCTCTTGGTCTAGAAATGGCACCTCCCCAATGAGGGTCTTACGACCTGCTTCAGGGAAAGGTCGGAAAATCCTTCCTAGGCTTTATGACCTGTGTCACATGAGAAGGGTGAGGGGAAAGGTAGGATGACCTTCCTGGAACCTCCCTTGCAAAGATTATGACAGTGAGAGAAATCTAACATGACTAACTCCATCTTGCTTCTAACATCACAGGCTGGCTGTCTTTGCTCATTTCTGGGTGTAGGCCAAGCTAATTATGGGAGGAATTTAGTTTACAGCTTAACTTTGAAGCAAGGATGATAATAGCACCTCCCTAAAACTGATCCCCTCCTTGCTTGAGGGCAGTTACCAAACCACCTTTATAAGACTAACGAAAGGCCACAAGATTAGGATTATGGAAGAGGCCTGAGTGCTGATAAAATGTAGGTTTAGTTTCTATCATCTCTTACTGCTCAGAAGTCATGGGGCCAAGAGGTCATATAATTTATAACTTTCCCAATTGCTCCTACAGGTAATATCACCTATTTTGAACCTAAGATTGGTCTTTTGAGATGTTTTTCACACTGACCCAACCCAGCCTCGTGACTCATGACTCAATGGGTCCCATGGCCTCCCACCCAGAGGTGACTCAGCACACAAGGACCATTTTCCACACCCCTATGATTGTATCCCCAACCAATCAGCAGCACTTACCCCTAATCCACTGCTCACCGAACTATCCATGAAAAACCCTGACCTCTGAGCCTTCAGGGAGACTAATTTGTAATAACTGTAATTCTTCCATGTGGCCAGCCTCCTGTTAAACTCTTTCTTAACTGCAATACCATGGTCTCAGTGAACTGGTTTTGTCTGTGCACAGGGCAGGAAGAACCCACTGGGCAATTACATTCCTGCTTCTGTTTTCTCAAATTCCTTCAGCCTAAAAAATGATGGGGTAGCATATCCTGAATGTCATAACACCTAAGTTTTAGGGGATGATATAGATCTAAGGTATCAAGGATGTGGGGCCATGCAGGAGTTTGGTCTTCAGTGCACCAATGTAGCCACACTAGCATCTTTCTACACTGGCATGCATCCACACTAGCTGAGACTGGGGTGCCTTCTTTTACATTCGGTCCTCTGTGCATTCTTTTCTACTATACAGCCTTTTAAGTTATGACTCATTCTCAAGTATTTTCAGGCCACTTTTGATCATGGGGAGAACCATCCATTTATTCTTCATTTTGTGGCTCCATGGAATACTCTGGGGACTCTCTGAGACTCCATTTACCTACTCTGTCACACCTGTGACATTGTAATAGAAGAAGACATATATATTTGGTCTTTGTTCCCAGTTCCTGGTGCAAGAGCTTCTGAAACCCTTGTAACTGTCTGAGTAATAGGAGAAAGAGAAATGTCTTTTGATATTCATAATAAGCCCCTTTCAATCACATCTGAGTTTGCTAATGGGGTGACTCTCGGTGGGCCCTGTATTGTTTCACGATGAAGCCTGGTTGCAGAGGAACCAACCCTGTGATCCGAGGGTTGGAACTTAGCCTCACCTTCCCACCCCTTCACCTTCAGAGAGGGAAGAGAGGCTGGAGATTGAGTCAACCACCAATGGCCAGTGATTTAATCAGTCATACCTACTTAATGGGGACTCCATAAAAACCCCAAATGATGGGGTTCCAAGAGCTTCTGGGTTGGTGAACACATCCAGGTGTGGAGAGGGTGGCATGTCCTAAGAAGGCATGGAAACTCCGAGCCTTCAGAGGCACAAAAGCAATATTAGGTTTAAACATGGAAAAAGAAGTTACATGTCTGTCTCACCTGAGTTGATGTATTGAAGTCATACCTTTTAGATATTTCACACTTTTTAAAAGAAATTACTTCTGTTTTTCACATTTGCCTTGTGTAAAACTATTATAGTCATCATGCTGTACTTGAAGTTAAAACCCTCAGGCTATACGATTATAAAGTTAATAAGTATTAAATGGAAACAGGTAAAACCAATTCATACTGTTTTATTCACTAAAACAGTCTTGTGATAACAAAATATAGGGTTGTGGAGTTTTTTTTTGGCGGGGGGGGGGGAGTCAAACTGTTTTTTACATTCATAACATTCCTTTGGTATAAATATATCTGAGGACCTATTTTTTCTCGGTCTATAGAGACCATTCCTTGTCTTTCTTTACTAAGTTACAGCTTGTCATGGCATGCTTTTTTCTTGTTAAAATATTTATTTTTGTTCTAAAGTTGTTGAGGATAGTAGGATATTTATGCTTTAAAATACTAGGGTGTACTTGAAATGAAATAAAATGCCTAGATTCAAGCTCCAAGCTTCAACAATTAGGTAATTTTATTAGTATTAGGCAAAAATGAACAACACTTACGTCTACCTTGGGTCAGCTCTATGTTAAAACAAAAATGCTACCATATTAGCTTGGATATATAGCCCTCCCCAAAAGGATGGCAATTAGGACAATGTGCTAAGTATATTAAAGCAACCCACCCGCCATGAACAAACACAAAAGGTCCAGCATATGAACTGTAGTCCCCCGTCAAGGTGTTATAGGGTTACACAATTAGAAAATGCCACTATCCTTTTTCTACATTCAACAAGGCCACAAATATATAGATGATTCTATTACTATTGCTACAAATGGCAAATGTCATCAATAAACAAGCAATAAAAAGCAAAGGACTGCCTAACTAGATGGAGAAATTAGAGCCAACACCCATGCAAGAGTAATGAAGGAAGAGGAAGCTGATTCTTGGGTTTTGTCTTTAATATGTTTTAACTTTATTTTTATACTTTTATCAGCTGAGGTTTTAAAAACCTATTACTTGAGACTTTAAAAGCCCAATATGAAAGTATTGTCAAGACAGTTGGAAAAAGAAGGTAAAAGCTGACCAGGAGTCATTTTTCTCATTTTTAAAAGAAATAATTAGATGATTGAATCTTGGAGATCTTTTTCTAGATTTTTTTTTTTTTTTTTTTTGAGACAGAGTCTCGCTCTGTCACCCAGACTGGAATGCAGTGGTGGCACAATCTCAGCTCACTGCAACCTCCACCTCCTTGGTTCAAGCTATTCTCCTGCCTCAGCCTCCTGAGTAGCTAGGATTACAGGTGTGCACCACCACACCCAGCTAATTTTTATATTTTTTTAGTAGAGATGAGGTTTCACTACATTGGCCAAGCTGGTCTTGAACTCCTGACCTCAGGTGATCCGCCCGCTTTGGCCTCCCAAAATGCTGGGATCACAGGCGTGAGTCACCAGTCACAAAATATCTCAAATTTTGTGATTATTACATCCCTGGCCTACTGTTACCATCCCATATCTTTCTTCCATCACGCTCCGTGGTAAAGAAGAGTTTCTGACCCAAATATGGATAAAATACACTGTGGAAGACTCTTCCTTTTCTACCTAAGAAGCTGAGTGGATGCTGAAATATACACAGTACATAAGAGATGCTCTTTTCAACCATTGTGTGTGGCATAATGAGTAACTTCAAAGCCAGTTCTTCTTAATTTAGGAAAATAACTCTGGAGACTTCTAAGGTAGAACAGGATTTTAACTATCTGAAGAGGCATGAGTTTAGCAGAAGACAGAAGGAAATTCCAGGGCATTAAATTGTGCATTCAGCACCATAAGAAACAGAATCAGAGGGCCCTGACAGAATACACAGTGGCATTCAAAAACAGGTCACAAGGATCAACTAGTCTGCAACTATCATGTAAAGATGAGAAAACAAAACAAATCCAAGAAGTTTATTGCTGACACTAGAAACACACATTCCTCTAAGAGCAGCAAACTTTCTGTACAGGGTCAGTCAGTACATATCTCAGATGTGGTGAGCCTAGTGATCTCTGTCACAACTACTCAACTCTGCCATTGTAACCCCAAAGCAACCATAAACAACATGTAATGAATGGGTGTTGCTGTGTTTCTATAAGATTATTTGCAAAATCAGTCTGAGGACCAGATTCCGCCCACTGGCCATATTACACCAACCCTGAACTACAGAATATTATTCTATGTCTCTGTTCAGTGTTTCACTCATCACAAATTAGGGAAAGCAAACTATTCTCCCAGTATAAGCAAAGTGGCTTTTGGTGCTTCTCCAGAATGGCTTGAGATAGCCCTTTAAAAAAGTAGGTATATATTTTCAGACAGTCATCTTTGCCACTTACATGCAGAGACTGCCTGGGAACAAAGATAATGTAAATAAAACACGAACCAGTCCCAAGATTTTCCCATTTCTGCTGAGCCATACCACAACCTTCTCAGTTATGTGCTTCATGTACTTTTAGTCAGGTCTCTGTCACTTATAACCAAGAATCCTAAACAATCAGCTAATCGAATTTCCACTTACCTGAGAACTACCACTTAGATTATTTTACCAGTTAAATTATTTACCATAATTTCTATGTTTTATTTTGACTATGTTTAATGCCAATCCTTCACAAATTTGTTACATACTTCTCCGTAGGCTCAAGCAGAGATTAACATTTTAAAGTCATTTAAAGAATAATCAGCATTATAAATAAGTAATAGAATGATATTTTACATTTGTATAGAACCTTGAAGTGTAAAATATTCCTTTTTTTTTTTTTTTGAGACAGAGTCTCACTCTGTTTCCCAGGCTGGAGTGCAGTAGTGTGATCATGGCTCACTGTAGCCTCGACCTCCCAGGCTCAGGTGATCCTCCTGTCTCAGCTTCCTGAGTAGCTGGGACCACAGGCATACATCACCACGCCTAGCTAATGTTTTTTTCTTTTGTAGTGACAAGGTCTGTGTTGCCCAGCCTGGTCTTGAATTCCTGGGCTCAAGCAATCCGCCCACCTTGGCCTCCCAAAATGTTGAAATTACATGTATGAGCCACTGCCCAAAAATGTAATCAGCCCTAAAATAGTCTTTAATTATAAAATTATTTCTTACTACTACAGCATTGTGAGACAGCCAGGGAGTTAGCCAGGAAGTTATTACTGTTCCTATTTTATAAAGAGAGATCACTTAATTCTAGAACTCCCTCAAGGCCTCCCATAGCTAATAAATAAGACTAGAACTTGAGTCTTAAGAATCTTAGTCTACTGCTGTCTTACCTACACTTCCCTTTTCTGTGTGGACAACAAAGTATTCTTCTGTGTCTTTTTTTTTTTTTTTGGTCATTTCCTTTTTATCTGTCAGGCAGCCAGCTCTGACTTACTCTCTGTTTCTGTCATCTCTCCCCCACATACCAACTTCTTCACCATGATGATTATACCAATAATACAGTTCCTTATATGAGGGGCTCTGGAAAATTAGACAGTGAAGCATGTTGCAGATTACATGTTAAACAGGTCTAATTCACAATGAATGACAACTTGAGACAATATGAGACAGTTTTCAGACAACAGTTTTGTGGCAGGTAGGGGACTCCTTTCTCTGCATACTCTTCTTGGCTGAGGTTGTGTTGCACTGGCTGAGGTTGCTGAAACAGTGGCCCATGGATGGAGATGTAGAATCTGCAGGAATATTATTGCACCATGAGTAAGTGAGGATACCCATAAGACTTCCTTAAATACAAAGGATGATATACTTTGAGCTCTGAATTTTAGAAAACCTAAGCAAAGATCTACACAGGAATGCAGCTATGACACTGGGATTTATTTTTCCCTTGGAAAATGAGGGATCAGTCTTCCAAACTAGCATTATAGAAAGATCCTGGCACACTTACACTATCTCTTCCAGTTCTACAATTCAATGAATTGCTCCCAACTCTTCAGTGTTGGGACAATTCAGCCTCTCTTTTCATATTCATTCCTCTTTGGTTGTTGGAAGAAGACTGAATTTTTTACTTTCATGAAAGCAATTTAATTTTAGAATTCCTAGGTCTGAAGAGTTTAGTTATCTGGGTCGCAAGTGTTTAACTGTTTGGCAAAGTGCTTTTTATTTCTCTGTTGGATAAAAAATACATATAATTTAAATTTACCTCTCAATTTAATTTGATTAGACCTGGGGAACCAGTTTTTTTGCAAATGAATCCAGAACACTCCTGTTCCAGAATTCCAGGATATTGAGTAGATAGATGATAGGTGTATTTTTTCTTTTTTTTTAATATATATATATATATATTTATTATACTTTAAGTTCTAGGGTACATGTGCACAACGTGCAGGTTTGTTACATATGTATACATGTGCCATGTTGGTGTGCTGCACCCATTAACTTGTCATTTACATTAGGTATATCTCCTAATGCTATCCCTCCCCGCTCCCCCCACCCCTGCTAGGTGTATTTTTTCATGCGGTCCTTCAGTAATCATTGTCAGTGTCATCATTGTCATCATCATAGTTAAACTGAGTGCTTACTCTGCTCTGGGTATTTATTAAGCAATTGATATGTTGAGATATTACTACTCTCTAATTTTCAGATTTGATTGTCAAAATAAGTGTCCAGTTCAGAAACACACATTGCAATTAGTTATCATGTCTCTCTAGATGCCTTCATTAGTTCATTAGTCTTTCCCTGGCTTTCAAAACTCTAAGACTTTTGAAAATTACCATCCATTTATTCGGTAGAACATGCCTCAATTTGGCTTTATTGTGCTTTCTCATGATAAGATTCAGATGATGCATCTGACAGGAATATCACAGATGTTTCTCATTGCATTCTATCAGGTGGGTGACAAGTAATTTTGATTTATGCTATCACTGACGATGTTCACTTTGATCACTCAGTTCAGGTGGCATCGGCATGTTTCTCCATTCAAAATGTATTCATTTTCCCCCTTGTGATTAGTAAATATTTTGTGGGGGATAGATTTGAAAGTATGTAAATATCTCATTCATTCCAAATTTTCAATTTACTCACTTACTTTGATAATGATGGACTTAACGGTTTTGTACTTTAATGAGCGGTAATACATTACTATCGTTTACTTTGATGGTCAAATTATTCCCAATTTGGCTTATGGGAGCTTCTTCAGGATGATTTTTGCGCCCTTTTGACACGACTCCATTATTTTTTTAAAGGACTTCCTTACTTTCTGGTATAAAATGCTTGATATTGTACTCCCTCTATACAATGTACTCCCTCTATGAAATCTGGTCATTTTCCCAAGAAAAACTCTCTCTTTCTGGTGAAGACCAGTATTTAGAAGCCAAGATATGGATGCTAAATGTGCTAGTTGCTATCGCAGTGGATATGTTGCCAGCCTATTTCAGTGAACAGAGCTAGGTATTATAAAACACACATACACCCACATACATTTACATCTCCATGTATTAATATAGCTCATTTATTACAAATTACAAGTTCACACCAGTACCTTCAACTCCATAATTTTCTCCTTTTTTATATTTGTAATTTGCTTCTATGACAGAAACTTGGCTCCTCTCACCCTCAATATACTTACTTGCCTATTGGATCAGTCTACCATATGTAACCAATCTCTCATCTCGCCTCATCACCCCACTTGGGGTCTGACATTTATGCTGGGTGACTTCTAGCATAGATACTCTCCTATCCTGCATAAGCTTTCATGCCCCACAAGAAACCACCCCTTCACAGGGATGCCATTCTCACTCCTCTTGATCTCTGAAACCACGTGATGAGTGACCTCTTTGGTAGTGTGTTGAATAGTGGCACATCAAAACACATGTCCACCCAAAATCTCAAAATGTGACTTTATTTGGAATAAGGGTCTTTGTAGACATAACCAAGATAAAGATCTCAAGATGAGACCATCCTGGATTAGGGAGGGCTCTATATCCAATAACAAGTGTTCTTATGAGAGTCAGAAAAGGAGGCAACACAGACACATACAGGGAGGAGCCCCACGTGAAAGCAGAAGCAGAGATTGAAGCGATGTGCCTACAAGCCAAGGAACTCCAAGGATTGCCAATACCCACCAGAAGCAAGGAGACACAGTTCTCCGCTGGAGTCTTCTAAAGAAATCAAGCCTGCCCATACTTTTGATTTTGGCCTTCTGGTCTCCAGAACTGTGAAAGAATAAATTTCTGTTGAATGAAGTCATCAAGTTAAACATAATTAGTTACAGCAGCTCTGAGAAATTAATACAGAGTTTGGTACTAGGAGTTAGCACTTGGACAAATATTTTGGGGGTCCATATTCCAATCCACTCTACCTCTAGATACCTGCCTCACTCAGCTTGTCCTCCAAAACCCCACACCAGCCTGTCCCCACATGTGAACATCCTTGTCACCCTGCCAAGGCTCTGACAGCCCTTGACAGGCTGTGCCCTATCAGTACTGACCCTCTCGGGTCTGACATGTTGCTCTGAGCCACCACAACTCCCCTCCTCCTCCCTGCTGGAGACTCCTACCTTGCTCTGCCCATTTCAAGGCTTAGAATGGGATTTCAGAGTTAGAAAAAGAAGAGAGGAGAATCCCATTAACATTTAACCTCAATGCAAATTAAGCTTCGTAATAAACAGTATCACTCACACTTTTTTTTTTTTTTCCCACAGACAAGGTCTCGCTCTATCACCCAGGCTGGGATGTAGTGGTGTATTCATAGCTCATTGCAGCCTCGAACTCCTGGGCTTAAGTGATCCTCCAGCCTTGACCTCCCAAAGTGCTGGGATTACAGGCACAAGCCACTGTGCCCTACCATGCTTACCTTTTTTATTTTCCTTACAAAACAAAAGTACAAGCTCTTTCTAAAATAAAGTGAAAAGTGTCAAAATTATCCCCATTTCCTAATGCAAGGAAAAAACATACAGTGTTCTTGGCAGAGAAAGATAGGAATTCTTTTATAAAATAGTTATCTATCTTATTTTCAGTGTAGTTGATCTTCATTTGATCTAAGCAAATATGACATTTTAGTACAATAAATGTACTCATAAGACCCATGTACTGAATTGAATTCTTCAGAGATAAAACACTTTGTCAAGAAAAAAAACAAAAGTCAAAGTGGCTTCAAAGGTTGTCTCTCCCTCTTTAAGCTTCTGGGATTTTTTTGGCATCATCAAAAGAAATGCCAAGATACAATAAATATACCAACAGGATAAAACACAAGTTTGTTGTAAAACCATAAACAAAGCATGATTATCACAGGGGGATCTTAGGTTTATGTTATTATACTCTAACAGTGAAGTTCTTAATTAAAACATTCTACAAGTTCAGGGTTATTAAGGACATCTGAAAGCCCTGAAACAAGGGGACAAAATGGAAAATAGAGCTTATTCCAGTCCCACTATTTCCAACAGAACATTTTAGGAAAGCTTTGAGCATTAGCTGAAACACAGGGAAAAATAAAGACTTGAAAACTATTTCCTGAAGTTTATTTTTTTAAAGTTCTGTTTTTCTTTACATCTGTTGTGGCCGCCGTTCCCAAAGAGAAGTCACCATCCAATGCCAGAATGGAACAAAGTTTATGGGTCTCTTTTGTTATGTAGCACTGAACTACAGAGAAAATTTTATTGCGCATTTGCTGCTTTCAATTTCCCCAGATTGTTTAACAATTCTGTGCTTCTGTGACATAAAAGACAGGCCAGAAACCTGAGGCCGCACTTCTCAGCTCCAGATCGAACATGACATTACAAACCAACAGCGTTTGACAATTTGGCTTGTTCTTTGAAAGCTATCAGACTGTACCACAACCAAGATATAGAAAAAAATAACAGTCTTTGTTAGGCAACATTTGTTAAAAACGCAGTTCCCATTATGCATTGGCAAGTGTTAGCTAGAATTAGTAATTATTAATATTAATGAAATTGGTATGTAAAGGATGCAAGAGGGACTTTAATTCATTGGGGGATAACTCAATACCCTGTGTTCTGTTGTGCTGCAGACAGAATATCTGTGATATGAAATCACATATCAGCTGTGTATTTGGACTTACTGACTTGCCACTTCTTGCCAGTTTTGTAGTGCTAAAGAAAATTTAAAGTACAACAGTCGATATAATCATTTCTCAAGTGGACCTATTCATCTCTCATCAAAAAGAAAAGACATAATGAGAGAAGAGCATTTTTCTGTGTTTGAATTATATTTAATATCATGGGAGATATAAAGATACTGCAGCCTTAAAATCTATAATGTTGCCTGCCGTGCTTTGACAATACTAACTGTAACCTGTAGAACAAATTACAGTAAAAGCCTACGTATTTGGTAGTCCATCAATCAGAAGTTCCTCTCTACTAGCAATTTTGAGCTGTGCCAATATGGTAAAAATTGATATTTATGATTATGGCGGTTGCAAGATCCTAGCATGCATTCTCAAACAAAGTTTAAATTTTGTCAGGCAATTTTAATATATATTACCTGTACTCTAGTGCTTTGAAAAACTGATAATCCACATATATAGTAATCCTGGCCTTTCAACTTTATTGCCATCTCCTAATTTCATGGCCTGATGAGTAACTCTTCTTTGATGTCCCAATATTTCTTCAGGTGTAATTATACTATAGTTTGCATGTATATATATAAATATGTAGATATAATAAACATATTATGAATAATTACACATAATACAGATATATCACCTATTTATATTGCAGCTACATCCTGGGTGTTAGTGTATTCTACGAATGTCACATATATAGTATATTGACTCATTTAACTGTAGCAATTAACTGATATTTAAATGGCATGATTGTAAAAATGAGGCAGAAGGCTTTGTGACTTGCCAAAGATCACATGTCTAGTAAAGTCATAGAGGCAAGACTGAAACTGGATTCCACCAGCATTCAAAGCTCTATTCTTTCCAAGATATAACATATCTCACTATACCTACCACCCTTCTAATTTCTACACCAGATACTTTCAGAATAAGCATCAATTTTTCCTTCTTTATTTACATATTCAGTTTGTAACCAAGTTATCATCTTTTTTTTTCTTGGCTTAATTCTCCCTAGTCCCCAGGCCCACTTTTGCACTCATTGCTTCAAGGGGTTAGATTACTATAGAAGTCTTCTAATCTAGGCTGCTTGCCTCGAAACCCCATTCTGCTTACTGTTTACATCTTAAAGCAATGTCCACTGTGTCATTCCTCAGCAATCTGATTATTTAGGGATGTATGTCTAAAAAACAAACCAAAAATCCTTTCTTTTGAGAAATACATTTTACATTACAAGCTCGTAGACCTAGTAAACATATTTGTGTATTTGTGTGTCTGTACACAAACAGTTGATCCTCATTATTTACAAATTCTATATTTGCAAATTCACCTATTTGCTAAATTTATTTGTAGCTCCCAAATCCATACTCAAAGCATGTTTGTGGTCAGTCACAGACATATGTAGAGTCATGAAAATGTTAGTACCTGACATATGTGTTCCCAGCTGAGGTTGAAAAAAGTGATGCTCTGTCTTCTTATTTCAGCTCAAAAAGTGTTCTTTTCAAGGCCTATTTGATGTCACATTTTTTGCATTTTTGTGCTTTTTTTAATTGGTGATTTCATGTTTAAAATGGCCCCCAAGCATAGTGCTAAAGTGGTAACTGGGTTCGACAGCGTAAGAAGGCTGTGATGGACCTCAGGGAGAAAAATACATGTGTTCGAGAAGTTTCATTCAGGTATGAGTGATAGTGCTTTTAGCCTAGAGTTTAATGTTAATGAATCAACAATATATATTAAATGAGGTGTCCTTATACAGAAACACTCATAAAATAAGGTTATGTATTAATCTGTTGATGAAAATTTTGTGACCAGAGGAACAAAGGAACCTAATCTTGTATTTACACAGGGAGCAATGGTTTTGTAATTACTAATTCGGTGTTGGTGGTGACTTTATAGAATAGAACTACTACACATAACAAGAATTGACTGTATATAACTAAAACAAATGTTTCACAAAAGCCCTTATTAACTGCAAGACACGTTTCTATTTTCCATTTTACCCTATCCCAGTTCATTAAAACAGGTATGTTGGTTGTGACCCAATAAACAAATTTTACAACCTACTAAGGAGTCAAGATCCAAAGCGTAAAGGCTGCTAAACTAGGATGCTAAGCTAGGACCTACTATTAGAAGATAAAACTATTTTAAATTGGTTTTCAAGGCTCTCCACGATGCTGTTTTATTCTATATTTCTAATCTTTCCCATGCCCCATCCCTTGCTGGTCCTGTCAGTCTGGCCAGACTTAGGAGATGGGTGAGGGGCTCAGAAGGCCCTTCGGAAACTGCTGTTAAGTCCTGGTTGAGCCTTCCTGAGCCCTAGGGTCCGGGGTCCCATGTCAGGGAGGATCTGCAGTATAGGGGGCGTCCAGGATGGGGACAGAGAGTGGTCTCCCAGGTTCACCACGTAACTAGAATTCTGTGATGGAGGCCAGGATTGGTCACATGGCAAGATGCATGCTGAATCTTATTTCTAATGCTCTATGCTAATGCTGATTTCAACTGTGTTGGGGGTTGGGCTATGAAAAGTCTTCCTACTTGCTCCTTCTTGTTAAACTAAGAACAAAGCTATAAAATGGCAACTCAAGACCTACTTATTCATTAATTTTAAAAATAAAACCTTAGTGGTAGAAGACCAAGGCCATGTTGGTTTTCTACCACTTCTCTGAAATCTCTTGAGAGTAATTATTTCAAGCTGTAAACTTCCCCTCTGGATTAGATGGGGAGATTTGGGATGGCTGATGTTTATTTTCTTAACAATCTGGTTAAAAAAATCAGTCAGATAGGTTGGGTTCAAATCACTCCTCCACCACAAATAGTAATGTGACTGTGGATGAGTTAAACATGCAAACTCAGTATATCCTCATCTGTAAATGAGAGATAATAATACTAACTACCTCACTGGGTTCTGGGAGAAGTAAATGAGATAATGCTTCAAAGAATGACAGGTAAAAATAATTGCTTAATATATTTTATTATTATCATAATCAGTATTACCATGGGGTCAAATACAAAATAGGCACTTAATAATTTTGTTTGTAACTACATTGCAAATCACTTGATTTTAAATCAACTGGAAACTTTTCTGCTGTTAGCACAGGACAATTCTTCAGGTATCTTTGGACTGACACAGTTACCCCTCTTTTTTACTCATAGTTCTCAAGAATAAATATAGAATATGCTGAGAATGCAACATCTTAAGATAGGGAGAAACTAGCCTGAACAGCCTAGGTTCTGTTCTAATCCCTCATAGAAACAGCATGTCCTTCAACACATTAGCACAGTGAATCATGTTATGCTGGGGTATAAAACCTAGGGTGGAGTGCTTTCTTGGGACCCTCGACTGCAGTGCAAATGTGGCACATGCAGATGAAACCCCATCTGCCAAACTAGCTTTCTTGAGGCTTTTACGAATCATAGGCTTCTGTTGTCCTATCTGTAAGTAATACACTGGCTTCAGGTAACCTGCGTGGAGGAGTGTTCTATCTCACTGGATTAAGACAGGTTGGTAATCAGTAGACAGTGAAACTGCTCTGTAGCCAAGTCATTCTATTTTGGTTTGCATGGTCTTTTCTAAGATAGATAGTCCACTTTCAGCACAAGAGAAAGAATTGGGGAACGCTGTTGAAGGATTCACTTTACCAAACCTTACTGTGTGACAAGCATATCATGAGATTTTATAAACATATTTCTCATGTATATTCACAATTTCTGAGATGTAAATGGCATTAACTTTATTTTGTAAGTAAAGAAGCTGTGGCTCCAGACAAATAAATGGCTCAAGGTCACACAGCTTGCTATTATAATAAGCATATATTCAAAGGGGAGCAAAGAAGAATGGAGAGGAAAGTAATGTGTTTTCTTTCCTTCCAGGTTTCAGCATTACTTTGGTGTTACTAGCCTATCTAACTTTCTTTTGCCCCCCAGATGTTTCAGCACTGCTATACTGTAGTTAGAAATAGTAGAAAAGTGCAATCATTTATAACCAAGTCAGAGATAAGATTTAAAACAAACAACAAAGAGTTTGTATATGGCTTTATGTAACTAAGAGGTAATGAAATTCACATCTTTCAAGATTTAATGTGAGGAGCAGAGCCTGAGCTGACTCAAGCCACTGATTTACCAGCCCCTCACTTCTCCAAAGCGTGGACCAGCCCAGCACCCAACCCCCCGAGGAGCAGAGCCCAAGTAGGTGGAATAGCCATACAAATCTCTACAGCCTAAGCCATTGAGGCACACACAGGCATTGCTGATGTTGACTATAGCTGAAGAAACTGTACAAAGACTACACTATTGCACCCACCCAAAGAAAAGCCAACGCACCCTACCCAACTGACACCCTAGGACATATCTGTAGAAGAAAGTTTTTTCCCATGAAAGCCACACTACAAAACTGGAAGACGTGAATGTTCCATTAAATGCACAGATATCAAGCAAGGGAGACAAGAACATGAAAAAGCAGTGAAGTATAACACCACAAAGCACAGTAATTCTCCAGTAATTCTCCAGTAATTGACCTCAAAAATGAAAATTTTAAATTGCCTGAAAAGAAATTCAAAATAATAACTTTAAGAAAACTCAGAGGCAAAGGAATATTAAAAAGACAATTCAATTAAAATGAAAAAACCATCATTTGAGAAATTCAACAAAAAGATAGGTATCAAAAATGAAAAAAACAGAAATATTGGAGCTGAATTTAATAAAAATTATCATTGAAAGCTTCAACAACACATTACATCAAGCAGAAGAATCTCTGAACATGAAGAGATGCCTTTTGAAATAATCCAGTCAAACAAGAAAAAAGAATAGAAAAGAATGAAGAAAGTCTGTCAAACTTACTAGACACTATTAAGCAAACAAATGATTGCATTATGGCAGTTCCAGAAGTGGAAAAGATGGGAAAAGTCATAGAAAATTTAATGAAATAATAGCTAAAAAGCTTCCAAGTCTTGGGAGAGATATGCAAAGCCAGATACACAATGCTCTAAAGCTCCCCAAAGTTTCAACCCAAAAAGTTCTTCTCCAAGGCATATTATAGTCAAACTGTCAAAAGTAAATGATAGAGAATTCTAAAAACAACAAGAAAAGAGTGTCAAGTCATGTATAGGGGAGTCCCTATTAGACTAACAGCAGATTTCTCAGCAGACCAGGAGAGAAAACCATAAAAACCAGGACAGAATGGGATGATATATTCAAAGTGCTGAAAGAAAACAAGCTGTCAGAGAAGAATACTATGTCCAGCAAAGTTATCTCTGAGAAACAAAGGAGAAATAAAGTCCTTCCCAGACAACCAAAACTTCAGGAAATTGATCACCAGTAGACTAGCCTTACAAGAAATGCATGAGGAAGTACTTCAACTGGAAGTGAAATAACAACTACCATCACGTAAACAACATGAAAATATATAACTCACTGGTAGAACAGATATGCAAATGAGAAAGAGAAAGGAATCAAATCCTATTACTACAAAAAAAAAAAAATCAGAAAACTGCAAAGATCAACAATAAAAGAAGAAACAAAGGATATACCAAAAAAAAAAAAAAAAAAAAAACCCAAAACAACTAACAAAATGACAACAGTAAGTCCTTACCTATCAATAATAACCTTGAATGAAAATGGATTAAATTCCCCATTTAAAAAATGTAGACTGGCTGAATTAATGAAGAAATAAGATGCAACTATATGCTGCCAACAAGAAACTCAATCTCACCTGTAAAGACACTACAGACTGAGGGTGAAGAGATGGAAAAAGATTATTCAAACAAATGGAAACCAAAACAAGCAAGAGTAGCTATACTTATATCATCAGATAAATTAGACTTTAAGTAAAAAACTGTCAAGAGAGAAAAGGAAGGTCCCTATATAATGATAAAGGGATCAAATCAGCAACGGGATATAATTCTAAGTATACATGCACCCAAAACCAGAGCACTCAGTTATATAAGTCAAATGTTATTAGCTCTAAAGAGAGAGAGGGAAACCTCAATACAATAATAGCTGGGGTCTTCAACACCTCACTCTCAGCAAACATATCATCTAGATAGATAACCAGCAAAGAAATATCAGATTTACACTGCAATATAGCCCAACTGGACCTAACAGACATTTACAGAACATTTCATCCAACAAAGGCAGAATACACCTTCTTCTCATCAGAACATAGAACATTCTCCAGGATAGACCATATGCTAGGTCACAAAACAAGCCTTAACAACATTTTAAAAACTGAATTCATATCAAGTATTTTTTCTGACTACAATGGAATAAAACTAGAATTCGACAAGAGGAACTTTGGAAACTATAAAAACACATGGAAATTAAACAACATCTTCCTGAATGATCAATGGGTTGAGGAAGAAATTAAGAAGGAAATGTAAAAATTTCTTGAAACAAATGAAAATAGAAATAATATACCATAACCTATGGTATACAGCAAAAGCAGTACTAAGAGAGAACTTTATAGCAATAAGTGTCCACATCAAAAAGTAGAAAAATTTCAAATAAACAACCTAACAGTACACCTGAGGTAAACAGAAGAGCAAGAACAAACCAAGCCCAAAATTACTAGAAGGGGAAAAAAAAAGATCAAAGTGGAAATAAATGAAAGAGACAAAAAATGCAAAAGATCAACAAAATAAACAGCAGGTTTTTTGAAATGCCTGGAAGACAATCTAGGCAATACTATCTTGGACATAGAAACAGGCAAAGAGTTTATGACAAAGACACCAAAAGCAATCACAACAAAAGCAAAAATTTACAAATGGGATCTAACTAAACTTAAGAGCTTTTTCACAGCAAAAGAAACTATCAACAGAGTAAACGGACAACTTACAGAATGGGAGAAAATATTTGCAAACTATGCATCTGACAAAAGTCTAATATCCAGCATCTATAAACAACTTAAATTTCCAAAAGAAAAAAAACTCCGTTAAAAAGTGGGCAAAGGACACAGACAGTTTTCAAAAGAAGACATACATGTGGCCAAAAAGAATATGAAAAAAAGCTCAGTATCACTGATCATTAGAGAAATGCAAATCAAAACCACAATGAGATATGATCTCATACCAGTCAGAATGGCTAGTATTAAAAACTCAATAAATAGATGGTGGAGAGGTTGCAGAGAAAAGGGAACACAATACACTGTTGGTGGGAGCGTACATTAGTTCAACCATTGTGGAAAGCAGTATGATGATTCCTCAAAAAGCTAAAAGCAGAACGACCGTTCAACCCAGCAATCCCATTACTGGGTATATGCCCAGAGGAATATAAATCATTCTACCATAAGAACACATGCATGCGAATGTTCACTACAGCAATGTTCACGATAGCAAAGACACAGAATCAACCTAAATGCTCATCAATGACAGACTGGATAAAGAAAATGTGGTACATACACACTATGGAAAATTATGCAGCCATAAAAAATAATGAGACTACTTATTTTGCAAGAACACGGATGAGCTGGAGGCTATCATCCTTGGCAAACTAATGAAGGAACAGAAAACCAAATACCATATGTTCTTACTTATAAGTGGGAGCTAAATGATGAGAACTTCTGAACACAAAGAAGGAAACAACAGACATTGGGGTCTACTTGAGGGTAGAGGGTGGAAGGAGGGAGAAGGGGAGCAAAGATAACTATTCGGTACTGGGCTTAATACATGGGTGATGAAATAATCTGTACAACAAACCCCTGTGACACAAGTTTACCGATGTAAACAAACCTTTACATGTAGCCTTGAACCCAAAATAAAAGTTAAAAAAATTAAAAATAAAGTAAATAGGCCAGGTGAGGTGGCTTACACCTATAATCCCAGAACTTTGGGAGGCTGAGGCAGGTGGATCACCTGAGATTGGGAGTTCGAGACCAGCCTTGCCAACATGGTGAAACCCTGTCTCTACTAAAAATATTGATACAAAAATTGGCTGAGTGTGGTGGCACACACCTGTAATCCCAGCTACTTGGGAGGCTGAAGCATGAGAATTGCTTGAACCCAGGAGGTGGAGATTTCAGTGAGCCAAGATTGCACCATTGCACTCCAGCCTGGGGGACAGAGGCAGACACTGTCTCTAAATTAATTAAAATAAAATCAAACACATCATGATATAGTTTGGATATTTATCTTCACCCACATCTCATGTTGAAATGTAATGCCTAATGTTGGAGGTGGGGCCTGGTGGGAAGTTTTTGGTTCATGGGGGAATATCCCTCATAGCATGGTACTGTTCTCACCATAGTGAATGAGTTCTCCTGAAATCTTGTTTAAAAGTGTGTTGCATCTCCTCTTCTCTCTCTCGCTTCCACTTCAAATGCCACCATGATTGTAAGCTTCCTGAGGCCACCCCAGAAGCTGATCAGATGCCAGCACCACGCTTTCTGTAAATCCTGCAGAACCATATGCCAATTAAACCTCTTTTCTTTATAAATTACCCAGCCTCAGGTGTTTCATTATAGCAGTGCGAGAATCGACTAGCATATACCATTAGCTAGATTAA